>NC_000002.12:198095678-198398708 GCF_000001405.40 Homo sapiens
GGAGTTGTAATAGCAGGGGATTACACTGGAAAACATTTTGTAATTTTAGTAGGGCACTATCAAAACTAGTTTGTTTGAATTGGTTTGACTTTTTTCATTCTGCAATCGTGTTTTTATGCATGTAGACTTAGCTCCAGCCCTAATGTTTTACTCTAGTCACATTTCTACGTTTTATTCTGTGTAACCAAAGATGAATAAGCAGAGACGGAATCAGCACAGATAGTCATGATAGAACGAATGACAGTTCTGTAACTCAAGAGAAATAGGAAAATGTGTAGGAACACATATATTTGCCACTTGTAAAATAACATTTTCTCATTTGATATGCCATTTTGTATATGTCTTTAGGCTTTTAATTATTCAACTAAACAAGAATATTTTGGATGCCTACTATGTGCAAGGCAGTGTGCAAGGTGCTAGAGAAAGAAATAGTATGAAGCAAAACTTCTGTCCTTGAGGAATGGGCAACCCTGATGGGAAAGGAGGACTTACACCTAAAAAGGGAAGTAGTCACACGCAGTGTTCAGAGAGTTGACCACATGGTATTTTATGTCCTTAGCTGGAGTCTTAGATCATTTAGTCCTATGATAGACTTTTCACAGTGACTTATAACACACTTCTTCTACCACCTCTGCCACCTGGTACTCAGCAGAATTTTATTTCCAAATACATTTGAAAGAAAAATATTATCTGACTTTATATACTTTCTTCTTTAGATGGCCGAGCTTTTCCTTTTCAGTGTTCTCACCTTTCTAATTTTTCATGCAGTCAAGAAGTATTTTCCTAATATATTTGATCATTTCCATTATTTTAAGTTGTTATGAAAAATATTTGGGTAATATCTTAAATATATCATTCTGAAGTGGAATAGCTACAGGAGGTTGCAACTGTAAGAAATAAGCCCAAAGCATTCTCCAAGGTGACTTCTGTGCTACCTTATTTAACATTAACATAAAAGTTAAAACTTTACTATGGTAAGAACAATTTTTTTTAAATTTGTTGTTAAAAAAAGGAAATCAAAACAATCTAGAGAACATAAGTCAAGGGTTATTTAATCTTTTACTAAGTCAGTTGGGGGTGATTTGGAGAGCAGTTGATAGTGCTAGAGTGAGCAGGAATCTAGCAAAAAAGAGCTAATTGCTGTCTAATCACGCTTGCAATGGAATGAATACACTAGTAAGTATTACAGTTAAGCCAGGCATAATGGTTGGCTTAAATACATTCTGTTATATCAGTGTTATAACCAGTATATATTCAGCCTCAGGATGGGAAAGAGTTGTAGTTATGTCTATAGTTCCCCGATTTAGTTTTGCTTATTGAAATCCATTTAAATTAAAATTGGATTCAGTCAAAGATAGTCTCATTCCATCACTGTCTCTTATTGTGAAGTTTGTGTGGAACTCTATTAGTTTGCATTTCAAGAAGTATCTTTGCTTGTATAGTAATAGAACCTAAAAAAAGAACTGTCTGCTGGCATGTGCCCAAACAGAGCTCGGTGTTTAAAAACAAGATGCTGTATTCTTGGGGTATGGAAACTTCCTTCACATGTGGGTACAGCAATGTCTTTGGACACATTTTCTGTGTAAGGGGAAAATTATCAGCATCTTGAGGAGTGGCAAAATTTCTACTTGGTACCAGGATCTCTAGGACCATGGATATCAGAGATACATATCCATAAGCAAGTATTTCAGGTTGGCTTTTTTTTGTGGAATTTTGTCCATGCATACTCAAAGCTGGCTTTGCATTCTTGAATCCTCAGGCTTTGTAACACTTTTGGTTAAAGGTAGTAAGGTAGTCAAATTGGCCTGAAAATTCTGGAGAAGGTTTACTAAGGCTACTCGTCTGGATATTTTATGAAGGAGTTAAATCGTAATGACAGCTGGATAAAAACAAATATTTCTAATGACTACTCAAGGTATAGCTGACAACTGTTTGGGGAACAAAACAACAAGAGAAAAAAAATGATCTGTTTATGCCAAAAGGGCCCCCTGAAGTAGATTTTGTCACCATTGTGAATGTGGAGACAAACGTCCTCTGACTTGCTGTGTGCAAGTTCACTTGTCCTGCGCCATTACAAATCAGGCTTGCAAATGTGATGCATTAGTCCCAGGACAGAGAGCTCTGTTGCATACACCAAAGGCAGTGGACTTCCAGTGAACTTGCAAATATTCTGACTTTACACTTGTTTCTGTATGACCGAGAGTTGACCACACTGACAGGCTTGATTGCTTAAAAACAACATGCCAATCTATTAGCAATGCTTTTATTTGTTTCATTTTAAATATTTAAGGAACTTGAGAATGAAAGGAAATAATCTTCATTCTAGTTAGCAAATATATATGTAAGAGCAATCTGATTTACAAATGTACCAAGTTTAATAAGAGTCATCTTGTTTTAAATGATCTGAAAAGATGAGCCACTGCAGAACCATAGAATCGAAACCTAGTTTTTTTGCTTAGAAGGAAAGTAAGAGCTAGAGGAATTATTCCAGTGTTCTGAAAAGGAGAGGACAAAAAAAGTCTAGAGTAGATTAGCTTTTTATTGACTCACATTTTCTCAAGCAATAGCTTCTCCAAAGTTCCTAACTCCTTCCTGAAAAAACAGAGGACTCAAGTAAATACATTTCTTCCTATGTTTCATATGAAAAAATGTTTATCATGATTGATGCATGTTGTGAATTAGACTTGGAGGGAAAAGCAGTCATGGCAAAATTTATTTTCATGATGCTTAATTTGATGAATGTTACTTTATTGTTTATTACCAACTTGCACTTGCAATAGGAATTCTACACTTTAATATGGTCTGCTCCTCAAGAATGCCTAGATTCTAGTCTAAATTGTTTCACTAGCTAGTTGTGTGGCTTTAAGCAAGCTAAGTTTTAGCTCAGGGTTTTCAACTATAAAATGTGGTTGTCCATGATAGACTGTCTTTAAGATAACTTCTAAGTAGAAAGATTGTGGTTCTAGGAATTTAGGTCTAATTCAGGATAAAATGGGAATCTATGCAAGATTTTTGAGTCCTAATATGACGAAAGTGCATCTTTTCAGTATTATTAAATAATTACATTGACTTTGCAATGATTCTGGGCAATTAGTTAAACTTCTTACTGGTAAGAGCTGGAAGGATAGTTTCTTCACAAAAGCTGGACAATTTAATCCATCTTTGAGTAACAGTATCACTGCCCCCTTCAGTAAAGTTTTCTTTTTAAAGACATAATTTTACTCTTAAAGGGTAACTTTACACACCCCTGCTCTGGATACATCTAATGCATAAAGTAATGTCAACCTTTATCTGGGCAAGTCCTCTATTCTTTTAGAGACAAAGCCCTGACAAGGAAATAAGATCCATTAGGAGATATTCATGTGACAGAACCAGAGAAAAGCTCTTTGTATTACTACAACAGGCAAAGGCAACTAGCAGCTCAGGCTGAGACATCAGATATGTAAATCAGGCCACTGCCAGATTCTATCGACTGAATCAACCCAGCCGTCATGGCTGAGTCGTGCTGACTTCCCGGCTCAGGGATTATCTGAGGACATCTTCTCACCTTCTCTGCTTGGCTTTTGCGCTTTGTATTTTATTTCCATCAGTATCATTTAGAGATCTTGGAAGGAGGTGAAACTCAAATCGACCATTTTTTCTCCCTGACAACTTAGATAAATTACTTAGTTGAGAGGAAAATTTGAAATTTTTGACTTAAATTGTGGTTTGGATTATTGGTACATTTTAGCTATTCATCTCATTTGTTTTTTCTATAGCTACTAATAATTGAAAGCTGACTGCAGAAAATAGAATAAATTTATAATTCTCAATACAATAGAAGCTGTTGACAGAGAGAAAAATCAAATCCCCTTATGAAACAATTTCATATGAGCAATGATTTTATGTTCTGAGAATATTAATGATAAGATATGTGAGGACACAATTTGAGACTTTTATTACTAAAAGATTTCTGGTTATTTCTGAGGAATCTCAAACAGAAGCTTGTTTTGAGGTAAAATTATACTCGATTATCTCTTTATGACGTTTATTAGACAATGGGAAAAACAGAAACAACTTATACCATGGGGTTAACAAATATTTACTTGGGGGCTTTTGAGAAGAACTTGAACTATAAGGTTTTGGAGTATGTTTTGATCCTAAATTTATTTTACCTCAAATAAGCATGTAATAAAGTTTTAACATTTGTTTTACTTTCTGATGTTTGAGTATTATATTTCTACAGGGGTAATCCTATTAAAAGCTTTATGCTTATTTTTCAGTACTTAATTTGAAAGAGAATTAAGAGCATACAAAATTACAGAAAAATGAGGAAGCCTAGGAAAAATAAGAGTGGAGAAATCTAGAGACAAAAAGAGAGATGGGAGTTCAAAAAGATAATTACAAGTTTGAGAAGTGGTCAGTAATAAATAAAATGTTTTATTGCACACACATATGTGGGTAGCAGACAGAGAGAAGAAATAAGTATCACAAAAGCAAAACGGGGAAAAAAGTGATTATGTAAATGGATGGATGCATCTGGGAATACAAAGCTGAATAAGATTGAGTCCCTGCTCTACTGGAATTACAATTTACTGGAGAAGTAACAAGATGGAAATAATATAGGTAAAGAATAAATCATAAGATAGAAAATAAAAAAATTCCATGAACAGATTTAAAAAAATAGAATGTTTTGGGAATATGGGGAGTGAGAAGGAGACAGAAGGGGAAATCAGGAAACTAATAGAGGAGAGGGCACTGAAGTGAGCTTTGAGGCCTGGCAGGATTTTGATCAGGGCAGATGGCTTAAGAAAGTTTCCCTAATAGAAAGAAATGTGTGGGAGGAGGAACAAGTAGGGTGTGTTTAGAGAAGCGTGATTCATCCATGTCAACTGAGACTTAGGGGAACTGGAACACCATAGTTCTAGGTTAGAAAAATTTTACTTCATTCAGTAAGCAAGGGAGAAAATGACAAAGCCAGGAATTAGTACTGTAGTTTTGGATGATGATTCTGGAAGTGGTACTTAGGAAGGAGTGAGATCAGAAGGACCAGAACCTACTGGTAGCTGAGTGGGACTTCAAGCCCACCTTTGAGTGCTGCTTGAGAGAATTCGGAGAAGATAGGAGATACTTCATTTTTTTGGTGGGAGTGGGGTGGGGGAGAGACAGGGAGGATAAAATGGAGCAGATAATATTTTTAAAGGTGACTTTGCTGCCTCTGGAAGGATAAAAAACCCTATTCTGGTTCTCATTGCTATTATGTTCCAATACCACTTGCCTTGATATTGCAGTAATCTTTGATGTTAAGGGAGTGGAATTAGGTATTTATGAATATGACCTGGGACATAAGGAATGTATATACATTTATTTGACAGCTACTTATTTGGTGCCCACTGTGTGCCAAGCATGTTACACAAGAGAGTAATCATAAGGAAGGTGACACTAGCCTCAGTGTTAGGATGGATGGGGGTTGGAACAGAGCTTATCCTTCTCCCTCCCATCTGTTGTGGTGAGACTATGGCTTACTTTTACTGGAGGTATCATGTGGGTCTCTCTGTATGTCGTCTTCCCAATGAGCCAGTTCAAGGATTCTGACAACCACCTTTTTGATGTTTATTTTGTAACAGATGATTCAAGAGAGCCGGTTTCTCATAGAAATGGCGGACACAGTCCAGGAAAAGATTGTACAGTGTCAGAAAGCAGGTAATTGTTTTTAATTTTTTTTTCTGTTTTTTTTTTCTATTTTGTTTGGAAACTATAATAATTCTTGGTAGATTTTTTTTTCAGAAACTTTCTGCTTCTCTTAAAATGCAGTTATTTTATAGCAATGCTTAACTATACTTTAAGTTACACTTTAGTCTTTGTTTAGTACAGATGAAATCCAAGTGATAATAGGTGGGTTGTATGTGAGCGTACAGGGTTGGGGTGGTGTCTGAAGAAGTCTAGAGGGATGAGGGTTTCTGAATCTAGTTTTGTGGTTTGGAACCCCATCAAAACCTTCTACTGCTGGTATTGAAGCTATGGTTCCATACAGTCCCTTAAAACCCACTTCAATTTTACAATTGGAACCAAAATCCTATTAATCTTCCAGGCTTTTGCCCCATTACTAGTCTTCACTTTAGATTTAGATTTGTTCTTTCTTTTTAAGTATGGGATGAGTCACATATCTGTGAGAGTGTACTTGTTTATTTCTGTTCACCTTCATCCACACCCTTGTGCTTTCATCTCCTGGATCCACAACCTTCTCTATCCACATACCCGATAATGATTATGACGAGGAAGATGACAATAGTAGCAACTGCTTGATACATTGCATATGCTATACCAAGCACACACACTATCTTACTCATGACAACTCTGCAAAGTAATCATCATTATATCCGATTTATAGATGAGGCATCTGAGATTCTGAGAGACTGAGTGACTTACCCTAGGTGCCATATCAACACGCGGTGGAGCTGCCCTTTGAATCCAGACCAAACTTTTAAAATGGTGCTTTTCACTGGCTGACCAGCAGGCTTAGATATTTCTGTTGACAGGAAGCACAAAAATAATAATACCTGATACTTACATGATGCCAGGCACTGCTCTGAGATCTTTATATGTACTGATTGACTTAAGCTTTACCTCTGTCCCATGAGGTAAACCCACTTGTTAACCACATGTCACCCGTGAGGAAACTGAAGACCAGAGATGTCAGGGTCTTTCCGAGACTCACATAGCTAGTAAGTGGTAGAGCTGGGCTCCACACTCATGTTCTTTACTATGTGCTATGTTTGTGATGTTAGCACCAGGAAAGTTAACGTGGTCTTAGGCTGCATTAATAAAAATATAAAAACTAGAACAAGGAGAATGGTGGTAGATCCCTGACCTCATGTAGGCTTCTCCAAGCCCATTTTGAGTACAGCGTTCACTCCTGGAGGCAAGTTCCCACAGAGCTCAGCTCCAGGAAACTGGGCAATGCAGTGGCCTTGCCTGGATGCCATCTTTAAAGAAGAGTTTCATTGGCAAGCTGAATATGTTTGAATGGTTAACTGAGAGAAGACTTGAAGGGATTTTACCCAATATCTTTCTTCAAATATCTAAAAGCTTGCACTGTAGAAAAGAGTTTAGACCTTTTTGGTCTGTGTCCAGCTAGCACCAAGGAGTAGAAGTTCCAAGGAAGGAGATTTTTGGCTTGATGTCAGTCATAGCTTTCTGAAGATGGAATGAGCTGTTCATAAGAGAATATGATTTCCATCTTTAAGGTGCTAAGACAAAGGCTGAAGAAATGTGATGGTGATGGTTTTCATAATCTTCAAGCTCGAGCAGATGGTTGAGCTAAAAATACTTTAAGGTCATTCCCAAATCTGAAATACTTGGGTGTTTCCCAAAATGCTATTTTTAAAAAAGCCTTTTTATTTTTAGCCAACATTACTGATTACTCATTGTTATCTATGTGGGTTCCAGGACCTACTATTAAGCGACAGGGATGGTTCATAAAGAAAAATAAGACATATGCATTCCTCACATATGGTTGCCATTGACACATCAGACCATTTCATGCATAAACCAGGAAGAGGACAAACAAGGTCCATGTAACCTGTTGGAATAATTTGCTTCTTACTTATTTACTTATTAAAATTTTTTTTAATTTTTAATTTTTGTGGGTACATAGGAGGTGTATATATTTTTGGGGTACATGAGATGTTCTGATACAAGCATGTAATGTGTAACAATTATATCATGAAAAATGGGGTATCCATCCCCTCAAGCATTTCTCTTTTGTGTTACAAACAATCCAATTATACTGTTTTAGTTACTTTTAAATGTACAATTAACTTATTATTGATTATAGTCATCTTGTTGTGTTATCAATTACTAGGTCTTATTCATTCTTCCTATTTTTTTGTACCCATAGAATTTACTTTTTTCCTTCTCATGTCATTTTCTATGGCTCCTGGCTGTTTTAAATACAATTTAGCCTAATGCATTGACTGTTGTCAATTTGTGCATAAGGACAGCTACTTGGTGGGATGAACAGAATGAAAAGGATAATTCAATTTAGGGATTTGGAAATTATGAGAAGACAGGAATGTGAAATTATATTTTACTGATAATATTTTCATTATAAGATGCCCATTTTTCTGAGATATATACTCAGATTTCTTATGCATTCTTTCTTCAAAGGGATGGAGTTCCATGAAGAACTTCATAATTTGGGGGCAAAAGAAGGCTTGAAGGGAAGAAAACTCAACAAAGCAACTGAGAGCTTTGCTTGGAACATTACAGTATTGAAGGTAGATGAAACACTCAGATGTCCCCTGTGCCTTTACTTTTCTTCTCCTCATCTCTCCAATGTGTAGAGAAATGTAAAGGATTAAATATGATGGTTTGGATTTTTAAACCTTCACTTTAGATTCAGGGTTACATGTGCAGGTTTGTTATATAGGTAAACTGTGTGTCGCGGGGGGCTGGAGTGCAGATTATTTTGTCACCCAAGTAATAAGCACCTAGTATGCAATAGGTAGTTTTTTGACCCTCTCTCTCCTCCCACCCTCCATCCTCATGTAGTCCCTGGTGTCTGCTGTTCCTCTCTTTGTGTCCATGTGGTCTCATTGTTTAGTTCCCACTTATAAGTGAGAATATATAGTATTTGGTTTTCTGTTTCTGCATTAGTTTGCTTAGGATAAAGCCCTCCAGCTCCATCCATGTTGCTGCAAAGGACATGATCTTATTCTTTTTTATGGCTGTGTAGTATTCTGTGGTGTATATGTACCACATTATCTTTATCCAGTCCACTATTGACGGACATGTAGGTTGATTCCATGCTTTGCTATTGTGAATAGTGCTGTGACAAACAGACATGTCCATGTGTCTTTATGGTAGAAGGAATTATATTCCTTTGTGTATATACCCACTAATGGGATTGCTGGGGTCAAATGGTAATTCTGTTTTAAGTTCTTTGAGAAATTGTCACACTGCTTTCCACATGGCTGAATGAATTTACATTCCCACCAGCATTGTATAAACATTCGCTTTTCTCCACAACCTTGCCAGCATGTGTTATTTTCTGACTTTTAGCTATTCTGACTGTGAGATGGTATCTCACTGTGGTTTTGATTTGGATTTCTCTAAGGATTAGTGATGTTGAACACCTTTTTATATGCTTGTTGGCCGCGTATATGTCTTCTTTTGAAAAGTGTCTGTTCACGTCCTTTGCCTGCTTTCTAATGGGGTGTTTATTTTTTTGCTTGTTAAGTTCCTTATAAATTCTGAATGTTAGACCTTTGTTGGATGCATAGTTTGCAAATATCTTCTCCCATTCTGTAGGTTGTCTGTTTGCTGTCTTGATAGTTTCTTTTGCTGTGCAGAAGTTCTTTAATTAGATCCCACTGTCAATTTTTGTTTTTATTGTAATTGCTTTTGGTGTCTTTGTCATGAAATCTTTATTAGGTCCTATGTCCAGAATGGTATTTCCTAGGTTAACTTCCAGAGATTTTATAGTTTTAGGTTTTACATTTAAGTCTTTAATCCATGTTGAGTGATTTTTGTATATGGTACAAGGAAGAGGTCCAATTTCAATCTTCTGCACATGACTAGCTAGTTATTCCAGCACCACTTATTGAATAGGGAGTCCTTTCTCTATTGCTTGTTGTTGTTGACTTTATTGAAGCTGAGATGGTTGTAGGTGTGCAGCATTATTTCTGAGCTCTCTATTCTGTTCCATTGGTCTATATGTCTGTTTTTGTACCAATGCCATGCTGTTTTGATTACTGTAGCCTTGTAGTATCGTTTGAAGTTGGGTCAAGTGATGGCTTCAGGAATGTGTGGCTTGATCTCTAGGTTCATACTCTAGGAGATGGGGAGCTGCATACTGGAATTAACATGGTTTTTGCCTTAATAAGGCAATGAGGTTTTCGGTGCAGGCAGGGTACAGCCCATGTGTGAGATTAATTTGCCTGGTGTGTGTGTGTGTGTGTGTGTGTGTGTGTGTGTGTGTTTACTCACATGAATACTTACGTTCAAGTCAATATGGCTGTTCTTGTTTGTGGAAAGAATAATGACAAATGCTTCTGGGGAAGATTCCAACACAAATGATTTTGAAGAGACAAAGTACAAAATATCTAGGGCCATTGAGGATTTTTATTTTAAGAACAGTTCCTATAAATACATTTCTTTTTGCAAATAACTTTGGAAGTCATTTTCTTGAGATTATGATTTGCTCTCTGCTGCACATGAATTTTAGAATTTTGAAGTAAATATGCCACTTTTTATATTTTCTTACATGAAAAAAGAAATGATTTAGGCAGACAATATATTCTTGACAGCTAAATGGGAGAAAAATAGCTACAAACAAAATTAATAATTGCTGACATTTAAAGAACACTCATTTTGTGCTAGGTACTGTTTTATGAGGTTTATATGAATTAACAATTTAATACTCACACCAACTCAGTATCGTTATTAATCTCATTTTACAGGTGAGAAAACGGAGGCATTGGAAGTCTGTGTATATTTCCTGAGGGCGCTCAGCTAGTAAATGGTGTAACTAAATTTTAAGCTCAGGCAGTCTGGCTCCAGACCCTGTGTCTTTAACCTGTGCTGCAGAGATGCTGCACATGTTTATGTGAAAGTGTTAGGTTAGCTGTAAGACATATTACAAATGTCTATTAAAAATTCAGTCCACAAGTGATAAGCCCCTACTATGCATTGGGCTCTGTGCTAGGCACTGGGAATACGTGGAGAACATGAGATACAGACCCTGACCTCATGAAGTTAGCAGTCTGAGTCCAGTGGAGGAGGGGGATGGATAAGGCATCATTTGCTTAAGGAGCAGGGATGACCTAGAGCTGTAGTGTTAAAGAGGTGCTTATTATAACCCTAGATTATAATGTGGCAGTGTGTACCCTGATATAAACATTTTATGTTCAGAAGATTTTATATGGGCTTGTTAATGTGCCTGTCACAGAAAGGTGCTAGGGATACAAATATCAGGAGGATTACCTGGGTCTCCAAGACTAGTCTATAAGGAGAGACAGACATGTAACTAATAATGGCCATCAATTGTTCAGCACTTATTTTGTGATCAGCACTCAAGGCTAGGTACTTTATGTACATTTCCCCTTTCTTCCTTGCCACAACAGTGCAATCTTGCAACATGACATGCTGACTCTGATAGGACTCTCTCCATCTCACAAATGAGGAAATTGAGGCTTGTGGGGGTTGAAATTTCTTGCCTGGAGTCACACAGCTAGTAAACAGCCAGCCTGCAATTTTTAACTCACGCCCATGGTTCTATCCACTACACTGTTCTGCCTCCTCTAAAACTCCATCCATGTGGCTGAGTCCCTGTATTAGTCTTTTCTCACGCTGCTAATAAAGACGTACCCGAGAGTGGGTAATTAATTTATAAGAGAAAGAGGTTTAATTGTCTCACAATTCAGCATGGCTGGGAGGGCCACAGGAAACTTACAGTCATGGTGCAAGAGGAAGCAAACATGTCCTTTTTCATATGGCAGCAGCAAGGAGAAGTGCTGAGCAAAAGGTGGAAAAGCCCTTTATAAAACCATCAGATCTTGTGAGAACTCACTCACTATTATGAAAACAGCATGAGGATAACCTCCCTTATGATTTGATTACCTCCCACCAGGTCCCTCCTACAACACGTGGGGATTGTGGGAACAACAATTCAAGATGACATTTGGGTCCAAACCATATCAGTCCCATTGGGTCCAGGCAGCCTAGTGCAGGAATAAGAATGCAGGCCCTGTGTGATTACCTGATAGTGGTGAGACTAGCCAAGTTATATAATCTCCCTCAGGGTAGTAATAATACCTACATCTCAGATTTTGTGAGAATTAAATGAGATAATACATACAAAAGATGTAAGTCACAGTGCACAAAACTAGACAGCATATATGTTAGCTGTTATTTGTTTGTTTGCCAGGTGAGGATAAACATGGAGAAATGAGGTTTTTGTTATTTTTATTTCTTTGTTAACTTCTGACTTAAGCCCACTTAGTGTTGTCAGAGATTTCTTAATGTTTTTGTTTGGTTTAGTAACAGAAGCTGATTGTTAGATGTGATTGAGCAAATGCTGTTCAAATTATTCCAAGAGAGAGCTTTTCAGACAGAATTGATTTTCTATTATTATAACTCACATACTAGCTGCTGGTATTTCAGCTTGAGCACTAGAGTAGTGGACTACTACTAAACAAGAGTAGAGAACATTTCCACACTTCCAATAGCTCCTTTTTCTCCTCCATTGAGTTTGGGGCCTGTTAATCTGGTGTCCTTTCCCCAAGAGCTGGACAAATGACCTCCTTTGAATTTGAATTATTAGCTGAGAGAAAAAGAGCCTGGGCTCTGTTGGAGACTTTTTATTCCAGTGGTGCTGCTCTAAGAAGATATCTTTTTCTATACGATTCTTCCTTTAGTTCTTATGCATTAGATCTGAAACACTTGATTCCCAATTAATTCTCCAGACTTGCTATTGATTTTCAGAGCTCCTCTAAGTATTTTAATAAATGCTCTTTGTTTATAAGTTTAGTAGATTCAATTTACCTTGCTTCCAGTTGGTTGAATGATTAATAACCATCCTGGAAAGACATAATCACTGAATTAGGAGGCTGTGGTACAATTCTGCGTTGCCTACTGAAAAAGTTTCCTTATACATGATTTAGACTAGTATTCCCTACTATCTAGAGAGAGGGAGTGGGAATTAACCAATTCTGGTTAAATGTGTTGGTTTGTATTTCTAAAAATATTTAATTCCAGTGTAATTTCCAATAAGTAAGGAAGGAGCTGGAAAAAAATGAGAAATGTGCCCTCAGCAAGTTGGGGGATTGACAGCATGGAGTGGTGCAAAGGGGCATTGGCTTTAGAGTAAATTGAGCTGAGACTGAAAAATAAATTGTTTAGTGTTTTCTGCAGTTCAATATTACATTTATCTGATATTAAAAGCTGGAGAAAAAAATTGCAGAAAGAAAAATGACTAACGACAATATAATGAATAAGAATTATAATTACAGTGTCCAAATTGTTGCAGAGACCAGGACTTAGTATTTAGCAAGGAAACTGAAATCAAGGTGCTTCTGGAAGATCCCACACTTGTGTTTTTCTTTAATTCATATTCTAGCACCTACGTGGGTCCAGTATAGGGACTTGTTTAGCGTATCTTTTGCATTTTTCCATACTTTTGCCATATGTCTATATCCAACTGTAGCAGTCAATTTGCTCTTCCTTTCTTTCTTTTTCACTATTGTACATGAAATTGGTCTCCTTACATAGCCATTGTGTTTATTTAGGATGATAGGATGATTCAGTCCTCACTACCTTTTCAAGACAATCACTGGATCAAAATAACTCCATTCCATTCCACCCTCACATGTTAAAAGACCTTTCCCTCTGTTTCTTCTCCATGATGTCCTTCTTGTGCTGATATAATAAAATACCTGAGACTGGGTAATTTATAAACAACAGAAATTTATTTCTCACAGTTCTTGGGGCTGAGAAATCCAAGATCAAGGCAGGAGTGGATTTAGTGTCTGGTGAGAGCACAGTCTCTTCTTCCAAGATGGTGACTTCTTGCTTCGTCTTTCAGAGGGGAGGAACGGTGTCTCCTCAAATGGCTGAAGGGAAAGAAAGGCAAAAGAAGGTAAAAGGGCCTAGCTAGTTCCCTCCAGCCCTTTTACAGGGCACTAATCACCTCCTAAAGGCCTTACCTCTTGATATTATTGCATTGGGGATTAAGTTCCAACATGAATTTTGGAAGGGACACAAACATTCAAACTATAGACATTTGGTTGTTAACATAATATTAAAATCTCAAAATGGAAATTTTTCCTGTTTTTTAAGGCTTTCAGAAAGGGATACTACAACTTCACTTACGTAGCCAACATATTCTAGTACATTGTTAGTAATTTTGGAAGTGTTTCACTCATGAGAGTTCTGAAGATCTCTTGGGAGCAAGATGTGGAATTACACTATATCACTGATAAAATGCTATTTGCAATGAAGTGGAATTCATCTAAAGTCTTGAACTCTATCCAGAGTGATTTGACTTTTTAAGTACAAAAAGAACTGCATTGTAAAGGTGATCACATCTATAAAACTGAAATTAGAAAGAACCCAAGGGGAGCATTTTAGTGAGCTTTCCCAATATATATTTTTCTAACTTGTCCTGTTGGCTATTTTAAGAAACTAAATTTTATTACTTTGTGTTTTTAAAAGTTTTATGTAAAAATCAATTTTAGCAGGCTGGAGAAGTATCAAGTAGAGATATATAAAAATAATATTAAAGAAATATAATTAATAAATATTTTATTACAAAGGAAAAACTATGAAGTAGGTAATCACTAGAGCTTAAAGAGAAATAAAAGGGTTAAGAAGTAGCTGCCCTTCTTATTTATTCATGACTTTCATTGATTACTTGTTGAATAACAGGCAATAAATAAAAAATGAATATAACTATTACCTCTTCAATGGTCATTCCTATTAAATATGTATTTACACTTTTCCTGGATAGATTTCCAACTTATAATTTAATGCATTCCAATGTGTGCCATGATTCTGGGCTGCTTTTATAAATTTATGTTTAGTATATGTGACTATTACTTTTCCCCATAACGCTTTTGCTTTTTATCACTACTTAAGCCTTTGCTCCTTCTGCTTTTATCTAAAACATTTTCAATTTCCGTGGGAAGAGCAGAGATTGAAGCTTCTCACTTCTCCGTGTGTAGTTATGTTTCTAACCCAGGCAGATTCCCTCACTGAATTCCCGAATTTCAGGACCTTACAGTTCTGGGGAATCTTGCTACAACAGAGGAAATTACATGGATGTCAGTGTAGAAATACGCTTTCAATTAGAGCCTGAAAACACATTTGAAGTCTCTGTTCATTGTTGAGAGACAAAAGAAAGGAAACAGATGATGGGCTAATGGGAAAAGAAGTATGAGGAGAGGCATCCATCTCTGAAAGCTGAGTGAGAGTGAGAAGTGGGCTACCCTTCACTTACTGGCCATAGATATTTAAAATCATTCTATGAGATACTGTGGAGAGGGGGCTGTTAGTGTGAATGTTCAAACCAGGCTCTTCCAACAGACATAGTGACCATGCCTTTGGGGGCTGCCTGAGGGTATATAAAGAAGGAACATGCCCAGTATCATCCACATTGTCTATTGAGAACTTTTCCAGTGGTGTCTCTGGCATCTGCCAGCTGTTGTTGCTGTAGAATCTAGAGAAAGGCTAGGATTCCTTTTGAGTATTCAGAAAAAAAAGTATATTTACAAAGTGTAGAAACAGACCTCCAAACAACAACAATAATGCATTAATAATAAACCATCCTTAATATTGATATTATTATACTATCAATTATTGAGAAACAGCAGGCAAAGTGATTAAGTGTACAGACGCTGCAGCCAGACACTTCCTAGCTCTGTGTCTTTGGGAAAATTTTGTTTTGTCTCTATGCTCTTGTATCAGTTGGGGTATGCTGGGTTGTGCTATAGTAACAAAAATCTGAAAATCTACTACAATATAACACAATGGCTTATTTCTTGCTTGTACTACATGTCCATCACAGGTAAGTAATGGTCACTCAGGAACACAGGCTAATGGGGACTCCATCCCAGCAAATACTTCTACAATCCCAGAGGTAGGGATGCAAAAATGGTCTTTAAAAGCTTCTGCCCAGTAGAGTCACATGTCCCTTCCACTCACATTTGACTGGTCAAAGCAAGCCACAGTCAAGTCTGATTTCATGGAGTAGGACAAATGTAAACCTTCTCAGGGAAGAGGAGCAGATATTGGTAAATACAATCTACCAGTGACAAGTTCTTCAACTACCCCTTATAATGTGGACTAAATGAGTAAATATATATAAAGCAGTATCTGGCACATGCTATATGAGTGTTTGTTATTTTTATTATTAAAAATGAACATTCAGTGCTTACAATAATCAAGTGATTTTTACACAACATTTTAATTACTTTTAAGGATAACCCTGTAAATTTACTCTTATTATACCCATTTTACAGATAGGGGAAATGAGGCTCAGGAGGTTAAGAACCTTCCCATTGGCATACAGGAAGTGAGTGATGGAGCAAGGATTTAACTCTAAAGGCCATGTTGTCATCCCACTATGCTATATTGTCAAAATACTGACAGCACCATAATAGTAATGGTTTGTATTAACTGAGCACTTTCTATGTATCAAGTATCCTACCAAGTGTTTTATATTTATTATTTTACTTATCTAAGGGAGTGAGTGTCCTGCCCATCTAGCATGAATATTTCAATCACCTTGACAGAATATGCCTACTGTCAGTAGTCAGTGGTTAGTGCAGAAAGCTACAGCGAGAGAGTGTATCTTGAGAATAATTTATTTACAACACTATATTTACAAAACAACTCTCTTTTCTCAATCTGGTTTCCCAGGTACACTTTTCTAGTGGAAAATAGAATGAATTGACCAAGTGGTATAACTAGTTCCATCTGCCCAGTAGTCACATTTCTCTTTGTAAGTAAATCAGTTAACTTCCTTTTTTATTTGTCCATCTCCTATGAGCTTGGTTAGCATGAATCAGCTTCCCAGGGCCTGATCACCCCTGAGCGAATGGATACAGTTGAGTCCTTGGACAGGTACGATTGGGAATCACGGAAGCAAAGCAAAACAACAACAACAATACCAAAGCAGAAGACCAGACCCAGGACCCCTGAGAGCCCAGCCAGCCTCCTCTTGTTTCTCTTGGACAGCTTTGCTATTCATTGGCTTTTAGTCTGGACATTGCTAGCTGCCATTTCTTGATGGGACAGAGGAAGTTCAAGAGCCATGCCTCTAGCAAAAACTTTACAAAGGCTATACTCCTTTCATATTCCTTCCTCATGCCCCCTCCTCCACAGCCACAGTTCTACTGTTCAGACCTACAATCTGTCCTTTATCAACTGAGGAGTTACAGCAGAATCTATTCTGTGTCTCCTCTAGGCAACATTTACTTCTTCAATTTTCATTTTGTTGTAAAGTTTATTTCAATTTTTTTGTCTATTAAACGTTTAAAAATAATGTTGGAATTTTGGCAAACAGTTACGGTTAACAGTCATGCCAGAAACATTTGGTGAACGCAACTGGGAGGGGCAAAATAGGGATGAAGCCAAAATTGAGGGTCTTATTCCAGTGGCAGCCAGTTTAGTCTCGCTCAACCTAGTAAGCCCTCAACTCACTTGGAATCTTAGCCAGCTGCTTTACAATGGATATCATTGATTACCAGGAAGAAGGTGGGTGGCAGAAGGGAGAGAATGGATGGATCACTTCTAGAAAAACAGCTTGAATCTCATATGTCAGTACCATTATTTTTATACACAAAAGAAAATATTATTAAGCCTTATAAAGTGTAGAGTATACATTTAGAAGGCATAGCATCTATCTGGGGGTTATAAACTAAGTTTGATATATTTATCCGTGGACGAGGTATCTGAAAAGATACTCCTAGACACATTTGTAGAATCTTGTTATTGTTTGGCTAATTAGTGCAAAATAAAGACCCTTCTCTCCCACCTCAAGAAGGTGATGTTATTTCCACACTGACATTTATAAATAAGGAAGTGCAATGCATAAATGAGGCTTCTAATCCATAAATTAGCAAACAATAATTTAACAAATTTTTATTTCATTTTATTTTTGGTGAAACCAAATTTATTAATTCAACAAATGTATCTGTTACGTCTTTACTAGGTGACAGGCTTTGTGCTTGGGAATGTACTGGTGAATAAAAATGTGGCCTTCTGGTCTCAGAGCTGACAGTCTAGTGGGGGAAGCTGTCATTTAACAAGCACATGATGTGTGTTAAATTTGTCCTTATGATGGGTGCCTTAAAAAAGTGCATGACACTATGAGAGTGTGCAATGGGATTTGACCTAATGGGAGAGGCCAGGGAAGTATTCCACGAGGAAATACCAGTACAGTGGTGAGTAAATATTCCAGCCTTTCATGGATTCCAAAACCCTGCCTTGTATCTTGATACTTGAGTGTGGTTGCCAAAACAATTTGAAAATAATGGTGAAAAGAAAACACATCAAAATAAAGATGTGCCGGACCTCTTCAACATGGTCTGGGGAGTTCTAAAATTTCTGCCTTGCTCATTTAATTACCACTCATTAGCATTATGGCTAATTTGTTATTATATCAAATCTGGCCATATTAATTACAAATTAATTTAATCATCCACCTTCTAAAATATAATCTGCAGCGAAGTTTTATAACCATGTGTATCCATAAAATTCATTTAATAGCTTATAGTTACAGAGGAGGATGTTATAAGGTTGGTTTCTGAGAAATTTCTACAATTTAAAGCTGAAAAGATGCAGAGAGAGAGAGAGAGTTATATAATATAGAATATTAGTATTAGTGTTAGATATATGGGTAAATTTTTTGAAGTATAATTGATGCATCTATAATTTAAAAAAAGCCACAAGTTTAAAACATTATTTCAAACAGCTCTTATCCAACAATATAGGACAGTTTAAATAGAATGTTAATGCTTCTTAGCAATAGGCAGACTGGTTACATGGTGTCCAGATTTCTGCCTTGGGTGGCTGCATCCCAGCTGTGCTGCCCAGGAGTTTAGTAGAGATAAAAGCCGGGCTGTTGACATGATTATGGAAGCACACACCACTTTATCTCCAGTAGAACTAAATTTAGCATCTCTTGGAGGTACACTTTTTTTTTTCAGATGAAAGCTGCATTTTATAATGAATCTGAATAATTCAAAAGTGGCAGGATCCTAATGAATAGATGCATCATAGACCAGAGGACTTGGCTCCAACTTGTGAAGTTATTGAAGGTCTTACTTTTCTTTCAGGAAAATTTTCCTTAGAGAAAATTTGTTTCTTACACACAGAGTTTTAGCCTAAGGTGAGTTGTAGCTTAAGTGAGTTTGATGTCTTAACTCTGCATTAAGTATTTCTTACAGTGATATAAGTGGAAAGAAAACATTGATAACCAAATTGTTTCATTCTGGTTCCTTACAGCCCTTGTAGGTTTTATACTCACAAGCTCCTTTTCTGATATTGTTACTCAAGGAAGACAAAAATGGGCTACATCTATCTAATTTCCTTATTGTTAATCCAAATCAGAGCAAAATGAGTTCACTTCTCTGAATGTGTGTGTGTGTGTGCATATATATATCTATATATACATATACATATATACACACATATATGGTATGCACACAGACATTGTCAAATAAAGTCAAATCTGAATTTAGATAGAGAATCTGTTCAAAAGAATTATCACAATAAGGAGAGGGGACTACTGTGATAGGGGAACTATTGTAATGGGGAGAATGCTCCTACCTTAAGATCTGTAAGCATTTGAAAGGCCAGGCAGAAAGGATTTTTCTTTTATAGGGAAGGGCACAGAAGGTCAGAAAGAAGCACATATGAGGGAGTGGGTAGCGTGATCCCACAGTTGATCCTACAGTGAGGAAACATCTTTCCTGTGGTCAGTCCTTTCTTGGTAAGAGGCGATTAAGGAGAGGCTGTGTGCTGTCTCAGGATGAGAGTGGGTCAAAGTTCCAGGGCCTAAGGGGAAGAGAGAAGCCTAATTAAAGTTTGGCCAAGTCCAGGTAGTAGGTATCAATATTTTCTCCAGATTGGTTAGTGGACACAAACAGACAAACAGTTCAGCTAGTCATTTATGAGGCAAGAAAGGGAATTTGAAAGGTCTGTGTCTGGCCATGTCACAGATAAACAAGGGAGATTCCATGAGTCTTAGCCAAGTCCTATGGGGAAGAGGGGTTCTTTGCAGTAAGTAAGGTCTTTTGAGGAACACAAAAGGATGAGGGGATTTCTTAACCATCCCTGATTTCCTGGAACACAGGGCTCAGATAAAGTTGAGCATTGTCAACATATGCATTTATATATTGTATTATGCTGCTAATAAAGATATACCTGAGACTGGTTACTTTATAAAAGAAAGAGGTTTAATGGACTCACAGTTCCACATGGCTGGGGTAGCCTCACAATCATGGCAGAAGACGGAAGAAGAGCAAAGGAATGTGTTACATGGTGGCAGGCAAGAGAGCTTGTGCAGTGGAACTCCATTTATAAAACCATCAGGTCTCGTGAGACTTATTCACTACCACTAGAACAGTATGGGGGAAACCACCCCCATGATTCAATTATTTCTGTTTGGCCCCGCCCTTGACACGTGGGGATTATTACAATTCAAGGTGAGATTTGAGCGAGGACACAGCCAAGCCATATCTCATATATAAAAAATTTTTATGAAATATAAAATTATTAAATATATAAAATATATACATATAATATATAAAAATATACTTATTAAATATATAAAAATAGATACATATAAATATATAAATATACATGTATATATAAAATGTTATGTGTGTATATATGTATATGTGTACATACAAATATGTAAATGTAAAAATCTAAAGAATAATTTAGGTTAAGCATAATGAAATTAGATGCTACTTTTTTAAAGTCATATTGAAAAGATCGTGATTATGGAGCAGCAAAAAAGTTACCCTGGAGTCATAAGTGGTTATTTTCCAGTTTAATTAAACATTTCTTATTTCAAGTAGATACAATGTGCTCAAAGATACATCAAATATGAGATTACATACTCATAGTAATAGGCCAGGAGGATAAATCTTTTTTTCTCCTTATTTCCCACTTTTTGTAAAATGATTTTGTACTATTAATTACTCTCCATACATTATTGATACTTTTAGTATTTGTGGTAAGTGAAGATACCTATCTATGAATGCAGGATAATTAATAACTGAATTTTCCCTTTAAGGAAAAACTCATGGCCTTATGAGATTAATTATAGATTCTTTGAAAAACGTATGCCCTTGGAGTTTTAAAAATATGCTTAAATTCATAAAAATTTACACATAACTCTTCAGATAACTACTTGAATAAGACAAGAAATACGGATCATTATAATAATTTTATTAATGCTTTGAAAAAAGGTAACTTCCAGAAAGAAAAGACTCTCACAGAACCATGACTTAGAATTAAGTATTAGACTTTTGCATCATTGCATAATATTATGGAAAGGTTAACAAGTCGTTATGTAGAAGCTCCAGGGTTTCAGAGACAAAGAAGAGAATCCTTCCCTATGCAGTGAAATACACTAACCCCTCATGATGGGATTTGTAAATCTGCCAGGACGAAGCTATGTGTTCTAAAAATAGCTAAAGTCTTTGAGTGTTTATTTAAAAGATAACTATTCTCAATGGATTTTTGAGTCAGTTATACTGAGGGATGGAAAGTTCTTAAATTGCTTTACAATGTATTCCAGGGAAAAAATATTGCAATTCAAATCTCTCAGAGGGATTCCTTAATCAACTAGAATATTCTGGATCTCCCAGTTGTCAGCTACTCAGCAGCTGGCCTTATGAAAAAAACTAGAATAAAACTGGTTCATGAATGTGTTGCCTGGGAATTTTCCTTTTCTTGGGTCAAAAAACATTCCTGATCAATTACAAATAAATCTAGTCTCAGAAAGTTGAGCTCCTTTTCTTAAGCATGTGTTAAGAGACATATTTTTCATATACATTTAAAATATACTGGATGCCCTGAAAATATGACTTGGGTTTCAGCAACAAATTCTGATTTCCTTGGGTCAGAAATATGGGTCTCTATCAGTCATTTTCTGTTTTTTTTTTCTTTTTTTTTTTCAGATTCAATTGGGCTTCACTTTTTTGTAAGCAAAGATATATAGAAAGGGAAGGTTGAATGTGTTAGAATTACTCATGTTCTCTGGTGGTACATTATTGTAACAGAAGTTTATTCCTCCAAACTGCTTGGATGGGCACAATTTGAACATATGCTGAAACAGTCCTATAGACACTTGAGAGTTCCATACAGTTTATTTGCTGGTGAAATCATGGATGGTTACACACCGCTTCCTCATTCCCTTACCTTCCAGATGGCTCTCCACACTTACCACACATGTTGCAGGAAACAGGTTCTTGTTTATCGTGGGTTTGCTATCAACCAAGAAACTGATATCTAAGACTGCTAAAAAACAAAGCTAGCGTATAAAGTCTTGTATAGGAAAAGTATGTTTTAGAGGTAACTATGTCCTAGTATTAAATCTGAGTAGGTGAGACTGAAGCTTCTTAACAATGTATATTGTGTATCCTCTGAGTCAGCCCATAGAGTCTTTACATGTACTCTGAAACTAGAGAGGGAAAAAGCCAGCAACTTCCTTCCTGTTCTCCTTTATCAATAGTACATTTTAGCCTGGGAGAGGAAGAATACCATCAAAAGGAACAATTATATGTATGCATAGTGTGTGCTTGTATATGTGTTATATCATAGGCTCGTTTCTTATATTAAACAACTCACTTATTAAACCCTGCTTATTGTAAGCTCTGTAATAATACATGTAGATATGATAATAACAATAATAGAGGAATGAAATTTTCCTTGGAGGCTTTGGTTAACTAAATGTATTCTCAGCTGTTCTTATGAAAAACATAAAAATGTGTAAGCAATATAATAATTACAAATGCCATCAAGATGGAAATTACAATTTTAAATTCTGAAAAATATAGTCTTTGCTACTGAATCACAGTTTTATCAACCATACTAAATCATTCGGTCATCCTCTACTTAATAACCACCACCTTAAAAATTGCTGGGTTCATCTCAGGAAGCATAATTTTGTTCTAGAGATTCTTCTCTGGTCAGAAAGAGAGAGAGGGAGAGGAGAGAGAGAAAGGAGCAAATAATAAAGTGACTACTACTGTCCTTCCTCTTTAAATAACAGCTCCTGGGAAGGTCAGATCCTTTGGCTGTTTTGTCAAAGATACTCAGGAAAAGTTTTCATAGAGATCTCTGAACTACAGGAGACTTGAAAATTAATTACATGAAACTTTATGAATTTTCATTGAAGTTAAACATCAGCACAACCAGTATTATTTTCCTGGAGCTTTTGATTAGACATTTCTATACCAGTTTGTCTGTCATTTCTTTTTTGCAGCATAAGGTTTAACAGTCTAATCCCTGAATTGGCCAGAGCTGCTGCATACTCCTATGTCAATTGTGCACTGCACAACCGTAGGGGGTGCCATTCCCACTGAATGCATGTGAGTAGTGTCCTCTGGATTTGTCATGTAGTTACCATGAAGTTGTCAGTCTAAGCATTTTTCTGTCTCTAACCTTTTGTTCTCCATGAAGTTTTGAGTGCCTTTAACTATTATTACATTAATTATAATTATTGTCTAATGTAGTGATTTTCCCTACTAAGGTTTACATTTAGGATAAATCTTCAGTCATTTCAAAAGGATTCATATACAGTAGTGTGTCTTCATGTGAAACTATTGTTATTTGTGTATTGAAGCACAGTAGAGAAGCCCAAGAATCCAGAGTATTACATACATCAGATGAGGAAAATGTCAATTGTAACTCAGCTAGATCTTAACTTTGATTGGTTTTGACAACCAAACATAGTTGATTCAGTTTGTAACTTGACAACAGAAACTGTAGGCATTTGGAAAATAATATCAAGTCCTCTTTTCAAATCTAATACATCCTTCTTGTGTAAGAAAATTTAATTAAATTCATTTAATCTTCTGAAAAAAATGCTCTAAATTCATTTAAGAGAGTTAAAAATAAATAAATCTTTTAAAAAGCCTAAGACTTGAGTGAGAGAAATGATTTGATGTTAGTCTGTTAGCTTCAAGAAAAAATGCCAAGTTCTTGACCTGGATAGAAGGTCCTCTGTGATGGGGGCTTTGCTTACCTCCGTGTCTTCACATTTTATATTCTCCAGGCCCTCAGTTCTGTTTCTTGGAAATATCAGGCAGTTTTGGGATTCCATGCCTTCGCACTGCTGTTCCTGCCAACTGTGATGTTCTTTCCCTCCTCAGTCACCCACCAGCTCCTCTTCATCACTCACATCCAGCACTAGTGTTATCCATTGCCTTTCCAGGGAAGCCTTCCCTGCTCTTGTCCCTCCATACCCCTCACCCTCCAATTCTCATCAAAACCAAATTATCTCCTGTATAGTGCCAGATCTGTAGCTTATACACAATTTTATTCCCATGCTCACCACCCTGACTCACTAAATGTTAATGATGTGTCCCTATGTCTTTTTCTCATACAAAATCCTGCTCCTTCAGGGTGGGGACTGTGTTTTAGTACAGTGCTGAGATTTAGGAGAAAGCAGAGGATTACAGAAGCTCTGCAAGTTGTTCAAGATGATGCGACTAACTAGTAAGCCGTGGGGATGGATGCACACCTTGATCTATGTGACACCAAAACCTGTCCTTAATATCCACAGTCATGATGTCCAAGGTCACTGTAGATGCCTGTGTACCAAAGCTTGTTCTTCATATTGGGCGTTGTGTCCAACGTCACCATTGGATGCCTATGTGTCATTTGGGAAGATGGGCGTTTCTGCAGTTCTTGGCAGCTCCGTTTTCTCATGGGGTTGAAATTTTGTCCTGTTTTTCTTACTTCAACCTCTGGGGAGTTTCATTTTTCCTGGTCTACTCTTAAAAAAAATAATTTTTGTGGGTACATAGGTGTATATATTTGTGGGGTACATAAGATGTTTTGGTACAGACATGCAATGCATAATAATCACATCATGGAAAATTGGTTATCCATCCCCTCAAGGATCTATCCTTTGTGTTTTAAATAAACCAATTATACTCTTTTAGTTATTTTTAAATATACAATTAAATTATTATTGACTATAGTCACTCTGTTGTGCTATCAAATGCTTGGTCTTATTCATTCTAACTTCTTTTTGTACCCATTAACCATCCTCATCTCCCCTCATTCCCCACTACCCTTCCCAGCCTCTAGTAACCATCCTTCTACTCTCTATGTCCATGAGTTCAATTATTTTAATTTTTAGCTCCCACAAATAACTTAGAACATGTAAAGTTTGTTTTTCTGTGCCTGGCTTATTTAAGTTAACACAATGACCTCCAGTTCCATCCATGTTGTTGCAAATGACAGGATCTCAATCTTTTTTATGGCTGAATAGTACTCCATATGTACTATCACATTTTCTTTATCCATTCATCTGCTGATGGACACTTAGGTTGCTTCCAAATCTTGGCTATTATGAATAGTGCTGCAATAAACCTGAGAGTGCAGGTAACTCTTTGATATACTGATTTCCTTTCTTTTGAATATATACCCAGAAGTGGGATTGCTGGATTGTATGGTAGCTCTATTTTCAGTTTTTTGAGGAAGCTCCAAATTGTTCTCCATAGTGGCTGTACTAATTTACATTCCTGCCAACAGTGTATGAGGGTTCCCTTTTCTCCATATCTTCGCCAGCATTTTTTATTGCCTGTCTTTTGGATATAAGTCATTTTAACTGGGGTGAGATGATATCTCATTGTAGTTTTGTTTTGCATTTCTCTGATGATCAGTGTTGTTGAATACCTTTCCATATGCCTGTTTGCCATTTGTCTTCTTTTGAGAAATGTCTTTTCAGATCTTTTGCCCAGTTTTTAATCAGATTATTAGAGTTTTTCCTACAGAATTGTTTGAGCTCCTTATGTATTCCGATTATTAATCCCTTGTCAGATAGGTAGTTTGCAAATATTTTCTTCCATTCTATAGTTTGTCTCTTCACTTTTGGGTTGTTGCCTTTGCTGTGCAGAAACTTTTTAACTTGATGTGATTTCAGTTGTCCAGTTTTGCTTTGGTTTCTTGTGCTTGTGGGGTATTACTTAAGACACATTTCCCCAGACAAATGTTCTGGAGAGTTTCCCCAATGTTTTCTTGTAGTAGTTTCATAGTTTGAGGGCTTATATTTAATTCATTTTGATTTGATTTTTGTAAATGGTGAGAGATAGGGATCTAGTTTCATTCTTTTGAATATGGACATCCAGTTTTCCCAGCACCATTATTGAAGAGACTGTCTCTTCCCCATTGTATGTTCGTGGCACCTTTGTCGAAAATGAGTTTACTGTAGGTGTGTAGATTTGTTTCTGGGTTCTCTATTCTGTTCCATTGGTCGATATGTCTGTTTTTATGCCAGCACCATCCAGTTTTGGTTATTACAGCTCTGTCTTATAATTTGAAGAACCTGGCCTACTCTTTTACTCAGTTTCATCTTTTCCTACCAGAGTATTCCATCTTTTCAGAATACAGGCAGGCTCCCATATGCACTGGACTGGCAATTTGCTTTTGGCTTTTTCTCTCAATAGGACCAGTGCCCATCTTTATTTTTCTCCTCCTTCTGGTGGCCATCTTTTGACTATCAGGCAACTGGTGACTGTTCTCAGGGTTATTTGATATAATTGCACAGGTTTCTAGATCAGTGCTTCAGCTCCTTCAAGCCATTTCCCTCAATTCATGCTGTGTACAGGCATCCATATACATATGTACACAGATATCCTGAGTATACATTATATACAATTTTTAGTGGCCCTATTCTACATTCTACTCTTCTAGTGCCCATGTTTGATTTTTTGTTGTTACTCTAGAAGAAGCACACAAAATGTGCTCAAGATGTGAACTGAATTATATGAATTTAAATCTGTGAAAATATTAACAATTATCCCAGTGCAAGAAGACATTGGTCACTATTGCCTTTGGTTGCTCATAAGAGGATAAAAAAAAAGACACTTTAACTCCCTTTAGGTTTATTGTCTTTTTCTAGCATGGTTCAGATATTAACAATCAAAGTGACTGAACTTTAGATTTTTTATATGATCTTTTCTTAAAATCTGGGTAACTTTTATCTTTGAGTTTCTTCCTTCCTTTGTGAATCATCACCATCTTCATCACTGCCAATCTTTAAGTATTTACCAAGAACTCATCATATATCTAGTGCCATAAATATATGAAAATGCTTTTAGAAAATGCTCTCCTCCCCGGTATTCACTTATGCTCCAAATTGGCAAACCCTTTGGTCTCAGTTACACTTTTGGAATAATCCTCTCATCTTGAGATCATCATTATTTCTATTCAATAAACTAGAGAATTATTGTAAAACAAATTGGGTATACCAGAAAGAAGTGGGACATTTTAGAGAAAATCAGAATATTCACCATAAAGCTGGAATTAAGCATATGACTGATTGGAACTGAATTTGTTCCAGTTTTAAAATATATTTTTAAAATGTAAAATACACTTAACAACAAATAATCACTTATAGTTATAAAATATGTATTCTCTCTAGACAGTGTTCTAAGTGTTTTGTACTTATTAAATCAGTAAATTCTAATAGCAATTATGTGATATATGTACACACTATTATGATATCCATTTTCTACAGGAGAAAACCAAGGGACAGAAAGGTTAGCTAATAGCTAATGAGTGGCAGTGCCATGATTGAAACCCAGGCAGTGTGGACCCGCAGTCCTTGTCCACAGTCTGACAAGACTGCCCCACCTGGTCCATAGCTGTTTCATATACAATGAATGAAAAAGCTCAATAACAATGGTAAATCCACACTTCATAATAACAATTAAACTCCTGAACTTGTAAATATATAAAAGCAGAGAGATAGATGCTCATCTTCAGTGGGGAGGGAAGGGTTTGTTATTCATGTTACAATAGGCAAACTATCCCTCAATTTTAAATACAGAGGATTCTAGTGTGGTTGGCTGTAGATAACAAGTCCACTTGCAACAGAGATTGGAACATTAGGAGGGGTTGACTGTTATGGACTTGATGGTGTCCCCTTCACAAATTTCTATGTTGAAATCCTAAACCCCCAGTATCTCAGGATATGGCTGTATTTGGAGATAGGGCCTTTAAAGAGGTAACTAAATTAAAATGAGGTAATTGGTGGGGCGGGGGATAATCCAATATGATGGGTGTCATTATAAGAAGACAAAATTTAGACTTAGACAGGTACAGAAGGAAGACCATGTGAAGACATAGGGAAAAGATGGCCATCTATATAAGCCAAGCAGTGAGGTCTCAGAAGAAACCAACCCTGCCAACACCTTGATATGGGACTTTTAGCTTCTAGAATTGTCAGAAATAAATTTCTGTTGCTTAAGCTACAGAGCAAACCTCGCTCCGTAACCTGTTAGGAACCAGACCATGCAGCAATGAGCATTGCTGCCTGAGCCCCGCCTCCTGTCAGATCAGCAGCAGCATTAGATTCTCATAGGAATGGGAAACCAATTGTGAACTGTGCATGTGAGGAATCTAGGTTGTTTGCTCCTTATGAGAACCTAACTAATGCCTGAGGATCTGAGGTGGAACAGTTTCATCCTGAAACTATGCACCCCTCTCCAGCCCCCCAGTCCATGGAAAAATTGTATTCCATGAAACCAGTACCTGGTGCCAAAAAGGTTGGGGACCCTGGCTTAAGCCACCCTGTCTGTGGTGCTTTGTCATGGCAGCCCTAGCAGACTAATACAGGGACCTAGGAGGAGAAAGCTAACGTTTGAGTTTCCTAGTGCAAAACTCATCAGGACACAAACTTAAAACTCCACAATTTTCTCTTGATCTTTGGCAGAAAAATGTAATTTAATTAGGATGCATTTTTATGTAAAGTGGGGTGCCCTTGGCCACATGACTTGTTCTTTATGTGGGCAGATAGGACAGTCTCCTTAACCAGCGTGATTAGAATTTCACTAGCTTATCGCTCAACAAATACACACATTGTTACTCCACTGGCTTCTGCCTTTCCCAGATATACCTGTCATAATATAATGTAATTAAAATAATTATAATTGTCTGACCTTGAAATTACTAATTAGCATGATGGTCAGTCCTTTGATAATTTTCTCCAGAAAAGTCTTGTTAAAATGGGCCTGCATAAAAAGCTGGGGGCAATGAACTAGTTATAAAAGGATAGGCTAATTTTTGGTTAAGTTGACTATTCCTTGCCAGAATTAAGAAGTTGGAAGATGAGGTTTCTTGGGGGTGGTTAGTCATAGTCCTGGGAAATTGGGACCTAGGCTGAGGGGAGTAGGAATTCAGTGGCACTCAATTAATTTTTTCATTCAAAAAACACAAACAAAGCCTTTGATTCAACAAACACAAACAAAATCTTGCTTTGGCCGGGCCCTGTGCTAACTCCTGGGATGCCTCTATGAACATGATAGAAGCAGCTACTGCATTCAGAGTTTATGTTCTTATGGGAGATACAGATGTTACAAAGTACAAGCCATAATTAGTTATTTTGGCTTGTACTTTGTAGAGAATGAAAAATAATTTTATTTAATTCATTATCTTGCTGAAGGTTGGCACTTTTTAGCCCGTGCTGTCCAATGCAGAAAGCACTAGCCATAGGTGTGCTATTTTAAGTAATACAAAATAATTACAATTGAATAAAATTAGATATTCCATTCCTCAGGGGCATTCGTCACATTTCAAGTGCTCAGTAGCCACATGTGGCTAGTGACTACCATAATGGACAACAGAGATACAGAATGTTTCTGCACTGCTGAAAGTTTCACCAGAGAATGCTATCTGGGCTCTAGAGTTGTGCCAGACCTGCAAAGTCAAGAAAGAGGGCCCTTAGCTTAATTCCTTAGAGAACAGAAGATATATATATTTATATCTACCAAAATAGTCCACTTTTGGCTGCAGGCCATAGTATAAATCTCATCTTAGTCTGGCCTTCAAAATGAAGAATGGGCTGGTTTTAAACCAAGGACAGATTTCCTTTCCTCTTAGTCTTATGAGTATTGGGGTTTTGCATTTTGTGAGTGCTCATTTTTGTATGTATGAGCAATTTGTCCATAGGAACTAGGGGATTTTTATATTTTTTCCTTTTATTTAAAATATATGACTACATAAAATAAACAACATGTGGTTTACAGATATGAGGAGTATTGGAATCTGTTACTTTAAAATAGTATAGCAATGTTTGGACTTTTCACAGCTGAAAGAATTAAATTCAGCTTCAGTACCACCAATTCCCATTTTTTTTCAAGTACAAGAGAAAAAAGAAGAAAAGAATATGTGGGTGGAGAATAAGGAAATCAGCTGTGTTGGTTTAATACCCTTGAAGGTGACATTAGTAGAAGACTTTATTAAAACATGCAACCTGAAGCTGAGGATTATAAAATATAATATGTCATGGTGGGAGATATGCTTTGGCTGCCACACCTAAAGGTCACTCTTTGAAGGGAGCTGAGACAGCTGCCAGGATCCATTGATTTCTTTCTAGTACTAAAACATCCTCTGGCAGGTGTCAGCCTGGGTGTGTGAACAAAAAAATATGGAAAATTAAAGAGTAAGCAAAAATGGGCCATGGGATCCTCCTAGTAGACCGAGCAGAATGCTCCAGTGTTTGTTCTGAACAGACGTGTAAATTTTTGCTTTAGCGACACAACAGATACATGAAGTGTTCAAATATTAGTCAACATATATTTTCTTTAGTGGAATATAGCTTCTCAAGTCTCTAGGATAACAAAGTTTTAAAATCCTGTCTAGGTGTATATAATTCTTTAATTTGTTTCTAGTGGGGCTACTCCCTCAGGTTAAGTAGGACACTTTCCCTACAATAGATTTCATTTTTCTTTGATTAGTTTCCACTTACTCCTTCTGCTCCTAACATGGCCATCCCTCTGCAGTTCTCCAAATATCCCATGTGTGTGCTTGCCTCTATGTCTCTGCATACACCATTTCTCTTCTGTGCTTACCCCCCAACTCCTCTACAATCTAGAAGACTCAGCCTTGAGATCTTTTTGAACAAGAATTGCATTTATGATGATAAATCTGTGCCTGTCCTACAAAAAAAGCCCTTGTCTCCTTCTGAGGTGATTTTGCTTAGTGGCTAATCTTTTCAACTTTTTGTCTTTAGGTTTTGCAGAAAATGAGAAAAGATGGAAAGAGTGAGAGGTCACATGATTTGCTGCCTGGGCTGTGGGGACCACCCAGGGGCTGTGTGGAGGGAACCATCCCTACGTTAGCGCTGAGCTCATAACCATGACGTCAACCTAGATTCCAAATCTAGGTGCTCACATTCATTTCACACCATTAGCAAGTTAAAAATGATAGAGCCAGGCCAAGCGCGGTGGCTCATTCCTGTAATCCCAGCACTTTGGGAGGTTGAAGTGGGCAGATCCCTTGAGCTCAGGAGTTCCAGTCCAGCCTGGGTAACCTGGTGAGACCCCAGCTCTACAAAAAATACAAAAATTAGCTGGGCATGGTGGCACATATCTATAGTCTCAGCTTCTTGGGAGGCTGAGGAGAGAGTCGCTTGAGTCTTGGAGGGTGAGGCTGCAGTGAGACATGATTGCACCTCTGCACATCGGCCTGTGTGACAGAGTGAGACCCTGTCTCAAACAACAACAACAAGATAGAGCCATTTACTAAGCAGATTGGCAGGTGAGGGACGCTGGTTTTAGCTAGTACAGTGAATGAGTGTGTGAGTGTGTGTGTGTGTGTGTGTGGGGGGTGGTGTATTCTTAGTCCCTTTTACACTGACAGTTGAAAAACTGACCTTTGCCCTTCTCTCTCCCATGTTATTTCTGATGTTAGTAGGCAGTTTGTAGCACAGCAGGATGGAAGAGTTGCAAAGGGAATTGTCTATGGGGTGAACCTTTTCAATTGCCCTTCCATCCACATACCCTCTTTACTGTGAATAATCATAAATGCATAATGATAACATTTTCCACATGCTAAATCATGCTAATGACCCCTACCAAGTAGAGGAAAGAATGTTGTCTTATAATACCAACAGATTATTTAAACCTGAGAGCTTTACATCATGTTAGATTAAGTTGTGTATATTAAAATTTTCCAAACAGTAAGTATAAAGATACTGTCTTATACATATAAGAGGTATGGCTATTTTAACATATTTTTTAAATTATATGAAATAAACTTTATTGGACATAGTTTTACGTTACCATTTTTTCTCTCTTTCACCAAATTGTGAAAGCAAATAGCTAGATATGCTTTCTCCCTTTGAAGAGGCATGACAGTTTCAGGTTTTGCTAAGAAAGATAGTTTCCATCTGAAAATGTGTGTACATAGTGTTTACTTCTAATTTAAATGCCTATTTACACAGGTTGGGGATACACCAATGTTTTTTGATGATGTGGTAAGTTTTCAAAATCTATTTGAGGTCATTTTTATATGCTTAGAATGACTTAGGTGCAAATCTACATGGAAGCAGAGGAATAAACCACATGGTTTTAGAAGCCATTTCTGATCATTGGAGCACAAGCTTTTTGTGGACAGCAGGCACTCCCTACCTAAGTCCAAAGCAGGGGAGCCACCTGCTGGACAGTGTGAAAAATCTTCATTTTCTGGAGGTAGTCATCCCTGCTTTTTTACTTTTAAGTTTAGGTAGATTTACTTACATATAAATTTATGTACTTTTTATTTTGCTGAGTAAATTTCTCACTTCACACAAATAAAGCGGCTCTAAAATAAGGAGAAAAAAATTAGGATGCTATGAAACACAAATTTGAACAACGATCAGTACTAGAAGTAGAGGCTTTTAGTCATTCCATTTTGTATTTTGTCTTTTTCCTTTCATTCGTAGTTCAGCCTAACTGCATTTATATTGTAAACCAAAAATAAAATTCTAAGCCCCTTAACCGACTGAATGGACCTGTCCTATGGGGACAAGGGGATTCCAAAAAATTCCAAAAAGCTAGTTCAGGCCATGATGGGAACCTGATGGTGTAACCACCCAGTTGGGTTCACCTTTCATGCTACCTAGAAAGAGCTGATTCATCTAGACAGGGGAATCGCAATAGAGAAAGAATAATTCGCACAGAGCCAGCTGTGCGGGAATCTGGAGTTTTATTATTGCTCCAATCTGTCTCCCCAGGATCAGAGTTTTTAAAGACAATTTGTGGGAGGGGAGGGGCAGTGAGTCAGGGACTGCTGATTGGCTGGGTCGGAGATGAAATTATGGAGAGGAAATCATGGGGCGTTACTGTCTTCTTGCGCTTAGTCCGTTCCTGGGTGGGCATCACAGGATCAGATGGGCCAATTTCTTGATATGGTGGTGCCAGTTGATCCGTCAAGTGCAGGGTCTGCAAAACTTCTCAAGTACTGATCTTAGGAGCAGTTTAGGGAGGGTCAGAATCTTGTAGCCTCCAGCTGCATGACTCCTAAACCATAATTTCTAATCTTGTGGCTACTGTTAGTAGTCAAGAAGGAGGTTTATTTTAGGAAAGGGATGTTATTGTTCTTGTTTTAAACCATAAACTATAAGTTCTTCCCAAAGTTAGTTCAGCCTATGCCCAGCTTGGAGGTTAGAGGCAAGATGGAGTCATTTAAGTTGGATCTCTTTCACTGTCTCAGTCATAATTTTGCAAAGGCAGTTTCAATGGTAAAAGGGAATTGGATACGCTGCATTATACTTTCCTCCCTTTGGAATTCAGGCTGAACTGATCGGCCTTAAAATTAAAACAGAGATCTTAAGACACAGTAGGCTCTTTGTAGCAATAAGATACCAAATTCCAACCTGACTCCAGTATAGCATCACATGACAGATAGCAGGCCCTGAGAAAAATCAAGTATTTTACCCCAAAATATATTTCTTTGACATATTTTTAAATGGCCCTGCAAAGCTATCTCTTGTGGGGGAAATTTACCTCCTTTAGAGAAGCCCCTTCCCTTTCCAGGTCTTTTTCTGATCCTGAAGAGTTTAGCTGAGAGTCTGGTACCTTTTAAAGGTATGAATAGGAAGCATTTGCCATCTATTGCCTCTAAGGATGGCCACCTATAAGACTTCATCTACATAATAAGACCGTTGGTCTCCAACAACACCCCTTATCTTTGCCCAGACACTCCTTTCTATTGATTCCAGGTTTTTTAGATAATAACTTAAACCCTTCAACCAATTGCCAATCAGAAAAATCTTTGAATCCACCTATGACCTGTAAGTCTCCTGCTTCGAGTTGTTCTGCCTTTCCCTACCAAACCATGATTGATGTCTTATGTCCTCCTAAAATTTAAAATATCAAACTGTAACCCAACCTCCTTGGCCACATGTTCTCAGGACCTCCTGAGGCTGTGTCACAGGTCATGGTCCTCACATTTGGCTCAGAATAAATCTCTTCAAATATTTTACAGAATTTGGCTTGCTTTTTTCATCAACAATATGTATACAAACGGGCTTTTCTAAAGGACTTTCAGCCCTCCTTCAGCTCATCTCCTTCCTCTTTCTATCTCCTCGCCTACATAGTCAAACTTCTTAACAGGGTTGTTTATACTTGCCGAATCCACTTCCTTACCTCCCACTCACTTCTTAGCCAACTTTAATCTTTCTTCTTCCCCGACACTCCATTAAATCATTCTCACCAAGGTCACCAATAACCACCTTGTCACAAAATCTCATGGACACTTTTCCAGTTTTTATCTTTTTTGACTAGTTGGGAACATTCTACGTGGCTAAGCACTCCCTACTTTTTATTTTTTTTAATTTTTTTGAGACAGGGTCTTGCTCTGTCACCCAGGCTGGACTGTGGTGGCATGATCATGGCTCACTGCAGCCTCAACCTGCTGGGCTCAAGCAATCCTCCTGCTTCAGCCTCCCAAGTAGCTGGGACTACATGCACATGCCACCACACCCTGCTAATTTTATGTTTTGTAGAGATAGAATATTGTGATATTTCCCAGGCTGACTCCCCACTTCTTGCAACACTGCTTCTCTTGATTTCTGGGACACCACCCCCTTCTCTCTTCTTCCTACATCTCTGACTCTTTCTTCCCAGAATCGTTTGCAGGTTCCCTTTCCTCTGCTATTCTGTTAAATGCTGGTATTTCTTAGGGTTCTAGCTTAGGCTATCTTCTCACTCCACCTTCTGTCCCTGGGGGACACAGTTCATGCAAAGGGTTTTGATTATCTTCACCATGCTGTCAAATCTCAAGTGTGTATTTTTGGCCCAGGTGTCACTCTCTTTATCTCTTGATGATCCCTGCTCATCCTCCCATATAGTTTATATATCAAATTACCTCCCAGGCATTGTACCTGGGAGGTCACTCAGCCACAGCAAGGTCGGCATGTCTCCAGCTGTGCTTATCCCTATCCATATGTCCTGCTTATCCTCAGTGACACCTCTGGAATTCCTGCTTGAATGAATAAATGACAACTCAGAGTTATCCAAACCTAAATCCTGGGGGTTATCCTTGATCCTTTTCTTAACTCTCCACCTCTAATTGGTTAGCAAGCACCGTTGGGTCAACCTCCTTAATACCTCCCTAGGAAACTTCCATTCCCATAGCCGTCACCTTAGTTATCTTCATTTATCACCTGAGTTAGTGAAAAGTCATTTCTCCTCTATCCTTTTCCCACTCCATAGCATAGAGCTGGAGTGATCTTTTTGAATGTAAAGCTGGTCATGGCCATTCTCCCTTCCTAAAGCCCTTCCAGGGCTTCCCACAGCTCCTTCTTAACTTCTCTTCTGAAACTCATTGTGGCCTGTCTTCTCAGCTCCCCTCCTTCCCCTCCAGCTTCGTCTCTCATTGCCTTCTTCTTCCATGCACTACTCCAGCCACATGGAACTTTCTCCACTTCCTCAGTGGCACCAGGGATGCTTTCATGCTGAGTAGTCACATGGACTGTCCCTTCTTCCTTGAAAGTGTGTAACCCTGCTTGTACCCCTGCTCCCTGGGAGCCCCCATCCTGTTGTTTTCACACTGCATGGGGCACTGTTATCTGTACTTCAGGTGTTTGCTCAGGTACGGAGTCTTCAGGATGCCTTCATGGACACCTCACCTTCTCCTGCCTCCCATCTTCAACAGAGTTAGGTATCCCTGTACGTATTCCCACAGAACTCTGCTATTCCACTATCATAGCACTTTAATTGCTTTTTTATCTTTCACGAGACAGTCTCTATTATTGTAAGCAATTAGGTGATGAATTTTAACATAGCAATTTTAACCTGAGCCCCAATTAATAAACAGTAGACATTTAGCATATGAGGTCAAATCAAAGAACGTCTCGTCAAATCCCCATGTTTTGGAGAAAAGGAAACTGCTGCCCACAGGAGTTAGGGACATTTCCAAAGTCACAAAGTCAATTCATAACTTATTAATCATTCTTCCCACTGCAGACATCAGCCATAACCCCTATTCTTTCTATCCTTTTGACTGATTCTGGTTTTCTCTGCAAGAAGCTTGAAAGCCTTAGCCAGGACATGGTTTAAACTCTATTTTGCCTTGGTTATCAAGCAATCAAATGGTGTGGTTAAAATTGTAGCAAGCCTGTCATTTCTCATTTAAAATAAAACGGGACTCATTCAGGCTTCTTGAAGTGAGACTGCATGTGACGATGCAGGGAACACATCTCCTAGAAAGAAGAGGAGCCACTGAATGGGCAGCCTCATGGAATCTCAGGCTAGAAGATCCTTCACATTTGAAGCAGGCTTTAGAGGACTGTGTTATCTTTTCCTTTTCCATTTCCCCTTTCCTTGCCTTAAGAGCAAGAATTGTAGATTTTCACTCTAGTGCTGTGGGCTTACAGGGGCTCAGCTCTGCTGGTCTTTTATTCCTCTCTATATTTTCTAGCACTTCATTCTGTTCACAACCAACTAAGACTCTTAGAATTTTTCAGTTTCAGTCTCAGAAAGAGTTAATCCAATTGGTTTGTCTAATTGCTGTCATTACTGCCTGGCATCAGGACATCTCATAGGTCACTGGTCAGCTACTGATTGGCCACACTTGGGCTGTGGTGAATCCTTGGTCCAACCAGTTTTGGCTGTGGTGGTTGGTTCTTACCTTTTAGAGCAGGGCCATTCCAACTCAAGGTCAGCGTGGGGCTGTTTTCTTTACCAGAGGTCTGTGGACATGGACAGCATTGCATAAGGCCTGACAAACTTCTGGATTCTCTACATGGTGATAGTTTAAAGTTTCTTTAAAAATGTGTTTTTTTGGGGGGGGGAGTCCACATATTCAAAGTTCTAAGAAATCTCAACTACTGACATATTAAGGAATTGAATATGAATGTCCTCTCCCACTAGATACTGATAGTTTGATTTTCACAGTAAGATATTCTGGGAAGAAATCTGGATAGGAAGGATTAGGGAGGCCTTATCATGACACTCACAAAGTTGAATGGGTTTGGTGAATGTATGGTGAATTTTTTCCAGGCATATATACTTACAAAGTTGATTTAAAAATAAGAATGTAGATTCTGGATATTAGCCCTTTGTCAGATGAGTAGGTTGCGAAAATTTTCTCCCATGTTGTAGGTTGCCTGTTCACTCTGATGGTAGTTTCTTTTGCTGTGCAGAAGCTCTTTAGTTTAATTAGACCCCATTTGTCAATTTTGGCTTTTGTTGCCATTGCTTTTGGTGTTTTGGACATGAAGTCCTTGCCCATGCCTATGTCCTGAATGGTAATGCCTAGGTTTTCTTCTAGGGTTTTTATGGTTTTAGGTCTAACGTTTAAATCTTTAATCCATCTTGAATTGATTTTTGTATAAGGTGTAAGGAAGGGATCCAGTTTCAGCTTTCTACATATGGCTAGCCAGTTTTCCCAGCACCATTTGTTAAATAGGGAATCCTTTCCCCATTGCTTGTTTTTCTCAGATTTGTCAACCCAAATGTCCAACAATGATAGACTGGATTAAGAAAATGTGGCACATATACACCATGGAATACTATGCAGCCATAAAAAATGATGAGTTCATATCCTTTGTAGGGACATGGATGAAATTGGAAATCATCATTCTCAGTAAACTATCACAAGAACAAAAAACCAAACACCGCATATTCTCACTCATAGGTGGGAATTGAACAATGAGATCACATGGACACATGAAGGGGAATACCACACTCTGGGGACTGTGGTGGGGTGGGGGGAGGGGGGAGGGATAGCATTAGGAGATATACCTAAGGCTAGATGACGAGTTAGTGGGTGCAGCGCACCAGCATGGCACATGTATACATATGTAACTAACCTGCACAATGTGCACATGTACCCTAAAACTTAAAGTATAATAAAAAAAAAAAACTTCCAAGTAAAAGAAATCTAAAAAAAAAAAAAAAATAAGAATGTAAGAGTGATGGTATTTGACATTTAGAAGAAATGTTTTGACAAGTGCATGTGATGATTTAATGGTGCATATTCCATAAAGTCAACAGGAGTGAAGCTGTGGAAATGTTTGTCTTTCTGAGTGAGTGGTATTTACTGCTGTGAATTTGCTGTTCCATTTCCCAATACACTCTCCCTCACTCATGCTTTTACTCTAACTTCACGTAACTGAGTTGCTATTTTCAATGATGCTAGTAATTAATGTGTGTTTGGATTCTGGATTTTTAAAAAAGTAATAAGATGTTTTGGGACAACTGGGGAAATTTAATATGTACTGTATATCAGATGCAATTCCTGAGTGAATGTTAATTTCTTTGGGGTTAATAAGAGTATTGTAGTTATACAGAATGTCCTCATTTTCATGGTCTGCACACTGAGGTATTTAGGGTGAAGTATACATTGTTGGATAGATGGGGATAGGTAAGTTGATCAAGCCAACACGACACAATCTGAAAAATTGGGAAATATGGATGCTACTCATTCAACTTTTGTGTAGGGTTGAAAAATCTTTAAATAATATAAAAAGTTGGAGGAAAAAGTGTAACTAGTAGTCTGTTGGTGTAGATGGCTTGAGTCTGAGATCTGAAATTGGAGCCAGTCTCAGATTAGAGAAAATAGGTCTTGACTTTCCTTGCAGTAACATTAATCTGGTGTTTAAATGAATGCTTTGCTGAATCTGGGGCACCGAGAGTGAATATCTCATTAATGACCAAATCTCCAAACCAGTCATTGTGGAGGAAGCTGAGTTGGCCACATCCTTGATTTAACTAAGAAGTAGCATGTTTTATTTTATAGCTGCCTTAGCCTCATTCATTAAAACCTGACTCATTGGGCGGAGGGTGGAAGAAGTTGCCCCTTTAGAAATATCTTGCTAATAACTCTTTGGCCACTTCAGCTAACACAGAACCTGGAACTCATGCCAGCATAGAAGGGTGGCTACAAGGCTATGGGATGGGCCAGCCGTACACATGCCATGATTCACTCTCAAAGAGGACAATTTCAGCCTCTTTAAAAGCATTATGATTTAGCAGAGAATAAAGAATAAATGTCCTTGGTAAAAGGACATATCTAGACCAGATGTAGTACAACTGTCATTGGCTGTAGGGAATGCCATGCACGTAGAAGGCAGGGTGAATTGTGCCCTTGGAATTGTGTAACACGGGACAGATGTCATGAAAAACAATTTACTTGCTGAAATCCAGCACTGTGGAGGTGGTGAAGCAGCTGAAGCCATTTTTGTGATCAGTTCACTCTATGGTATACTGTTGTTATTGTATTTGCACTTTTGTTCTGGCATGTTTGCAGAATTACTTTTTGGACGGATCAAGTAACCAATAATTTGAGCAACAATTTAACAGTAACTTTTTAGAGTGAAACCTTACCAACCAAATACCAGAATGTATTTAAAAAATATTTTGCTAATATTTGTAACTATCTTGATAGCCTTTGCTCTGGGGTTTGGGCCATCCTCTGTCTCTCAAGCTGTTATAAATGATATTTTTTGAAATGGGAATAGCATGAGTTGGTCAGGTAGAGATTTCTATAGAAGCTCCTTCTGTATTCGGCTTATGACACTCATGGCGGTAGTATGAATTCAGATCTCAGGGTCATTTATTATCCATGGAAAGTTAATTTGAGATGTTGGAACTTTTAAACAGTGTTTGTTTATTGTGCTAATCACGATCTGTTACTAAATTTCATTTGAAATGCAATTAATTACCTTCATCACCTTGCTAAAGATTGACATTAATATTCTGTCCTATCCTATTAGTTCTGTTGACACAGAGGGAGATGATCACAATAATGGGAAGGAAAGAGCAGAGAGCAAGGGAATAAACAAGCAGTGACTGCTATTATTTTATTGAATGGTTCTTTTGTCAAAATGACTGCAAGAAAATTCTTAGAATACCAGTATCATCACACAAACCTAAATTCATAAGGCTTCCTGCAGTTGAATCATATTTTTAAAGTTTAGCTTGGGGTTTTCTATTATTCAGCTCACTGGTGTTGAAGCAATTTTGTTGACATTTTCTGTAAGTGGATTAGGCTTGCAGTCATTTGCCCAAAGCAGACAGATGGCTTCTTAAACAGAGCACCCCCGTAGGAACCTATCTTATGGTATCTTCAGAAATAAAACAGGTCTGTCACAAAAGATAATGTTTGGCATTAATTTCTTTTAGTGACAAATGATTTCAGCTCATTTTTACTTTCTCTGCTGGCTTAAATGAAACAGCTGTTTTACATTTTTTATTCCAATAGTGAGCAACGCTTTGGTGTTTGACACTGAACAATGTTGTAGCCTCTAAATTATGAGTAAGAAAATAAGCTTTTGAGAGGGGAGGATGATGCCTTTTGGGATCCCCCAAGGAAAGTTGCCACATTAATGCAATTGTCATTTTTATTTTAAACATGGGGTCTTTTTTTGGACTAATGAGTAATGCAATCCTGGCTTTTATTGTCGCATTTTATTCTCTCCACTTTGTCAACTTGTCTTTTTAAGTTTCAAGATGTTTTTGTTTCCTCACATTTTTATGAGGCAAAGGACAGTGGACTTATCTACAACATTGTTATTTCTGTTTATATAATAGAATAATAATTGCTAACGATCATTAGAGTTTTCCATGTATGGCAGGCATTGTTCTAAAGAATTTAGAGGTATTATCTCTCTTAATCTCACAAAAAATCTATGAGGTGAGTACAATTATTATAGCCATTTTATGGATGAGGAAACTGAGGCACCCAGTGATCTTGCCCAAGGTCAAAAAGCTAGTAAGTCTTGGAGCCAGGATTTGAGCCCAGGTACAGTAAGAGTGGAGCTTATGCTGTAAATTCACTTATAAGAATGGCAATATGGTTACGATTCAAAGTCTCTAGTCTAGAGACTAGAGACTAGTCTAGATTGTTATTCTAAGAGAGAAATGAGGAATCCTTAGAATCAGATTTATTCCTTCATCACTCCTGGGGTTCCACTCGTCAGCTAGTGTGTTCTGCCATCTTGGGCAGCCAGCTTATGTGGAAGGCTTGTGGGGGCTCATGGGTGCTGCAAGGAGAAATCAGTACAGGGGCCCTGAGAATTGACTGATGAGGCCTCACATTAGTAGCATCCTTCAAAACGTTCAGTGGATGCCTGTCATGAATATGATTCATTAATAATCTTCTTTTTGGATCTGAGCCATCAGGGCTTATGACGATACCTTTGAAGTGAAAACCAGTCCTTTTTTCCAGCACTTATCCCACTCATGAATCCTCTATCATTGCTTTTGTATTTCAGTTTTCCGAAAATCTGGCTCAGATTAAAATTATTAAATGCTTCCAAACCCTGTACCCACACTGAAGACAAAAGTTAGAAATCAAAATATCAGCACAAGGATAGTATTTATGTCTGGGACATTTGTGAAGTTCTATCAAGAAATTCTTTTATAAACCAAAGAAGTCTTAAGCTAGTTTTTCTTTTCTATTTGATCAAATAGATCTATTTGATGACATGTGCACCATATCATGTAATGTACCTAAATTAAATAAAAAAACACAAAAAAACAAATAAACAATATAGAGATTAAGAAAAACAACTCTTGGCCTGGGAAGCCGGCATTATTCATTTCCTTCACACTTATTTCTCGTGTGAACCTGGGCAATGTATTTTTTTAGCTTTCCTGTGTCCATTTATTCACCTGAAGGTTATAAAAGGAGTCCTTCGAATGGCTCGAAAATTTGAAATAATTACTAAGAACGGTTATTTAGCAGATCTCAGTGATACTGTCACTAAATGACACTTTATTGTTTTCCACTTTCAGTGTTTCTTTCAGTATAAATGTCAATGAAACAAAATAAATCCTAAATAGAGAAAACGTAAGGAAAAATGGAATGTATTAGGCAATTTGGTGCTGTGCCATAAAGGCGGTAACCTTCCAGAACACTCTCCCATACCATGTATATCTGTATCTGTAAGACTGGAGGAGGATTCTTGCCTCTCCTCCAGGCAAGCATAAAAAAATCCTTGTACTGTGTTTCACTGATCATAAGATGCCAAGAAATAAATGAAGATGCCTGCTCATCTTGCAAATCATTGCTTTCTTGTTACTTTTTATGGGGAGGCTTGTCTAATCTCCTAGTCCTCACAGCAATACATTCTTTTCCCTCAAGTACTTAGCATAATTTAAGGTTAGATATAACTTTATTTTTGTGGTTATTTTATATATACCTGTATCCCACACTAGAAATAGGTTCCGTAGGGGCAGGGATGATGTCTGTGCTCACTTTTGTAACCCCCAGAGTCCAGCCTGGTGATTCTCAATGGGTGCAGTACTGCCCCCTAGGCTGTGTTCTGGGAAGTTGTAGAGGTGATTGGGAGGATTCTCCTGGCATTTAGTGGAAACAGACAGGAATATTTGATGTCATGCTCTGGGCAGGGCAGTACAACATGATGAAAAATGTCCTGTGTCCTGCAAGATTTCTGTTAAGTCCTGCCTGAGTAAACCCTCTGTATTAGTCAGTTGTCATACTGCTATAAAGAACTACGTGAAACTGGGTAATTTATAAAGAAAAGAGGTTTTTTTGTTTTGTTTTGTTTTGTTTTCTCAGTCCTTCACGCTGTACAGGAGGCATGGCTGGGGAGGCCTCAGTGAACTTACAGTCATGGCATAAGGCAAAAGGGAAGCAAGCACATCTTCACATGGTGGCAGGAAAGAGAAACAGCTAAGGGGAAGTGTTACACACTTTCAAACAACCAGATCTCCTGAGAACTTACTATCACAAGAACAACAAGGAGGAAATCTGCCCCTTTGATCCATTCACCTCCCACCAAATCCCCTCCTGCAACACCAGGGTTTACAATTCAACATGAGATTTGGGTGGGGACACAGAGCCAAACCATATCACCCTCTAAAATACAAATCAGAATACTTTAGTATATGATATTAATTAATTATTATTATTTTTTACAAGAAGTTGTTTGAAGGCCAGTACTTGAGTAAAAGGTAGTTATTGAGAGGTAAGTCTAAATGAAATAAAGACATTGTTTCCAAATTATTGAATAATTTACTCACCTTGGGTATTTTGTCCACTTGACCATATAATTGCTACACAGTAATATTGGAACAAATTGGGCAGTCAGATAATGGTTTTAACCTGATACCTTATTTTTTATTATTGATAATCCATGGTGGGCATCCGCCTGGGCCCCACAAAGTATCAGCTGGTATTATCAATCACAAGAACAATGACCTTTGGAGTACTTTTAAAGATTTGGCAGTTTTGCTGGGCGTGGTGGCTCACACCTGTAATCCCAGAACTTTGGGAGGCCAAGGCAGGTGGATCACCTGAGGTCAGGAGTTTGAGACCAGCCTGACTAACATGGAGAAACTCCATCTCTACTAAAAATACAAAATCAACTGGGTCTGGTGGCCTGTACCTGTAATCCCAGCTACTCAGGAGGCTGAGGCAGGAGAATCGCTTGAACCCAGGATGTGGAGGTTGCTGTGAGCCAAGATCGCACCATTGCACTCCAGCCTGGGCAACAAGAGCAAAACTCCGTCTCAAAATAAAAAAAAAAAGATTTGGCAGTTTTGATGTGGTGTATGGACATTATTTACTTCCTCATTTATGGGATTATCAGCTTTTTCTTTCCACAGTGAGGGTTTGTATTTGTCTTGGCATGTTATGCCGACCTTAATTGAGGTTGTTTCTTTCCTTCTTTTATTCTATGCAAATACAACTAGTCTATTGCCATTATTTGTTTTCATACTAGTGTCTGTCTCTACATTTGCATTATCATTTTCCATTAAATATGTATTTTTTGAGTGGAATGGCATCTGATCTTATTTCTCTTTCATATCTAATTGCATTCATATTAAGTACAGGCATCTGCCTACTTCAGGTTTCTGGTGTGCCTGCCTGACATTCACATATGGCAATACATGTTATTTTATTTTAAATGACCATTCCCTTTTTCTCCTTTATATTACAGCTAGGGTATTATATTTATTTTAATAATACATGAATAGGTTATATTATCTATGAATTTAAGTTTATGAAAATAAAGAAAGCCTTACAAAGTATTTGTTTCAAAGGGTTGGTTTTGATAGATTGAGAACCTCAGGCCAAAGTCTGGTATACAGTAATTGTTTAATAAATATTTGTTTGCTGGATAAGTGAATAAAATGAAAACTAAGGTGCAAGTCCTCATTAATAGCTAAGAGACCACCATTGTTTCCAAAGCACAGGGAAGAGATGGGTGTATCTCAGTTCACATATACATAGCTTTGAACAAGGTATAACAGGGACAATAAATGAGAATTTGAAACATTAAATTTCATACTTTTTTTTTTTTCCCCGAGATGGAGTCATGCTCTGTCACCCAGGCTGGAGGGCAGTGGTGCGATCTTGGCTCAATGCAGCCTCCACCTCCTGGGTTCAAGCAATTTTCCTGCCTCAGCCTCCTGAGTAGCTGGGATTACAGGTGCCTAACAACACACCCAGCTAATTTTTGTTCTTTTAGTAGAGACGGAGTTTCACCATGTTGGCCGCGCCTGGCCCATACTTCTTTTTTAAGCTCTGGTCAACAAGTGCATCTCAATGCAGTGGGTTTTATTGAGTGATACAGATGTTTTCCACCAGTAACAGGACCTATTGTCAGCATTGTTGCCACTGGATTATTAATGGTTTTTTAAATTATATTATTATTAGTGAGTAGTGTTTAAATAATGTTGAAAGACTTCACTTATATGTAGAATTCTATATATACAAGAACATAAAATTGTCTCCTTATATTAAAACTATTTTAAAAAACATGGCTAATACAAAGGTTTTCTGCTTAAAATGCAGTTAATTACTATTTTGAAGTAACTAGGGTCCTTCATTTCTTCAACATTCAAGTTAACCAAGACTTCTTGATAAATAAAGCTATTGTAACAAAGAAAGCTTGATAGGAAAGCTATTGTAACAATGCAGGTGTTATTTGAGAAAGAAATGTGGTAAAAGAAGATCTTTCAAATTTCTTTCAAATTTAATTTTCATTATGTTGAATTTTAACAGAGTATGATTTCAAAATTTTCTGAGCCTTTCATATGGCTTATTAAACATGTCATCTGCTGCATTTTACAATTTTCTGTGGACCCTTTGGCATTAAATTATTCTTAACATTTCTTTAAAGTGTCTTCTATACTTTATAAATTATTTTTTCTTGAGAATTAGATTCTCAGGAACTAAAAAGATTTATTTATATTCAGTTTCCATAGTTTTCAGAAGTATTCAATTAATCAGAGTTTGTGACCAATCCTAAAATACATCCTTTATGTAACTAATTAAAAAATTAACTTTATATACAGTTACAAAATCTAATGTCTCAGGTGAGCATGTCCAGTGTAATTCTCTTCATGTTCCTGTACAGATTATTTTTATTGCATTATATAATAAAGATTTGAAAAGCAGAGTTTCATTTGTTTTGGGTTTAGAGTTTCAGAAGAATAACAGATAAAGCTTCATTCAGCCAAGACTGTTAGAACAGAACTACTCTACGACTATTCATCCATATTTCTTGAGTGTTCATGGAGTAAAAATTTAACTTTTTAAATAGCAAGTAGAATGCAGTTGAAATATTTGGTTGCTGAGGTGTTGCAAAACAGTAAATCTGAGCATTGATAACTTAGTGCAGTGGACACTTCTATTTTTGTGCAAAATTAAGTTATATTATATGCAATTTCCTAATAGCTGCACCTTTGTGCCTTTTAACTCTTGTTAACATCTTGTATATAATTCCTACACAGATAGGCCTTCATTCTAGAGAGCAAGAATTCCAGGCCATCTTTGAATAGTTTCACCCAGTTTTCCAAACAGCGTAACATACCAAGAGTGTAACATCAAAAAAAAAAAAAAAAAAGTCTAACATGACATCAAAACATTTTTGATTTGTTGTTTTAATTTCTCAAATGAAGGACATTGTAGCAGTTGTTTTACCTCTTCAGAGCAAAGGATTAAACTTCTTAAATGATAGAGTCCCAACGGATGGTTTTTGAATTAGTAAGATGGCAGTTGTGCACAGCCCTCCACAGTATGGTCCATCAATGGACCAAATAAATAACTACTCATCCCACTATGATGTCTGTGACTGGTTTCTACTGCAGCACTGTCCAAGGGTGATTCTACTGTGGGTATGGACTCTCCCATGGATAAAAGAATATCAGAAAACCCAGTCTGCTGATGAGTGTGGGCTCAAAAATACTCACACGAGTTGACTTGGAGACAGAGCTGCATTTGTTTATGTGTGTAGTTTTGTATATGTGAGGGTTTTCCTATTCCCAGAGTCCCAATTAGCTGCTTTAAATATTTGTGGTGTGCTCTGAAACAACCCACTCATTTCCTTTACACTTGATGAGAACACTAGTTATGATGTTCTCCTGCTCTTTTGTGTACTAATATCACAAGGGATAGTGCGGTTCATGGGAAAAGTGGGTGTGAAGGAGCCTGGGATGTCTTTTGTGAATAATTCTGCCAGACTGTAGTCAAAACCATTTTCATTGGTGGGGGGAGGACTGCATTTTTTTGGTAAAAATGGAAGTAACAGAAATCCTAAATATCTTTTGATGGGTTATAAGATATATTACTAAAAGATAATTTATATTTAGAATTCTACCCTATTTTATGGTTAGGATATAATGAGATGTATTTGAACTGGTTTACGTTTAGTATATTAAGTGTTCAGTAAATGTTAGCTGCTGTTTAGTGTTGTGACAATATTTCTTGTCAGTAGTAAATTTATTAGTAGTAATCAAAATTGTGGTGATATATCACCACAGCAATGCACGGCAGCCCAATTTGCAATCTAAATTGCATCAGTTATTTCCTGATTTCTAGATAATGTACTTTAATTATAATTTAATGCAGTTGGAAAGATTTAATAAGGAATGCTTAATGTTTGTTTTTTAAATATTCACTAATTATCACTCATTTTTAAATTCAGAATTTCTATAATGATCTCTGTGGCTTTGCATGAGTCCATGTTACTTTCTAAATGTGTTGGACCTGCCAGTGGAACCTTACATTCAGAAGCCAAATCACTGTGGAGGCTAAATGGTGGCCATTGCTCTTGGGACTTCTATTAGTCTTGTTGTCCCATCAGCATCAGTCTACCTGAGGCGCTCTCTATTACCCTCACTTTCCTTTGAGTTAAAGCATCCTTCTCTTTTTTTTTTTTCATGAAGGATCCCCAGTACCAGAGGATACTTCAAATCCCCATGAGATTGCTAGTATAGAAATGCCGGCAGCAGCTTGACATTTTTTTTTCAAGTTGAGTGTTCAGTGGTCAACTTGTACATTAATTCTGCATTTCATGCCATAACAATCCTAAACTTATTTTAGTATACAAGAGGTGTTTCCATTTCTATATCACCAAATAAAATGAATTCTCCTGGGGTTCCTCCTCTTCCCTTAAGACCTCTGTTTAGGGAGAATAAGATTAAAACACTTTCTTAAGAATGACTTGTTAGGTTACTCTTTAAATATATACTATAGACGAATACCTTTAAATGGCTTGGCTGACCTGAATACCATGGTGGGTGTCGGGGGGTGGTTTTTGGGATGAAACTGGATCAACCTCAGATCAACAGGCATTAGATTCTCATAAGGAATACACAACCTAGATCCCTTGCAGGCTCAGTTCACAATAGGGTTCACACTCCTGAGAATCTAATGTCGCTGCTGATGTGACAGGAGTGGGAGCTCAGGCAGTAATGCTCACTCACCCACTGCTCACGTCCTGCTGTGCAGCCTGGTTTCTCACAGGTCACAGGGACTGGTATCAGTCCATGGCCCCAGGGTTGGGGACACCTGCTGTACCTAATATATTTTGGAGGAAATGATACACAGGACAAAGACGTTTAGAGGGAGATCTGGTATAAGCTGGCTGGTTAAGAGAAGTTTGGGGGTGTTTGTGACAGAGTAGAGAGAAAGAGATTGCTAGATGATTAGGGAAAATTGCTGCATATAAAATGGGAAAAAAGTCAGCATGCCAAGGGAAAATGCCAGGGTGGTGGTTGTTAACAATCAAATTCACCTTCTACAATTTTCACCAGAATGTGTCTTTTCTGATTCTGGTGCCTTGATTCGGAAGACCCAAAGAAGAGATGCAGGTTGTGATTCCTGGAACCACAGAACAGAAAGATGACTGCTATTCCTCCTTCATAAAAAAAGAGAAAACAGAAGTTTATATCATGTTTCAATGTACACTCTTCACAACACAGCCTTTCAGTTTTGCTTCTTTTATTAGTTAATAGTTTACCTATTTTTTTTTTTTCTTGCCTATATGGTACAGCCAGTGTGTGTTGTCTCCAGGGTTATCAGGAGATGATGTAGTTGTGTTAGTTATGCACTGGTACAAACTGTTTCCTCCCATTGGCCATTGTTTTCTACAGAGACTGACTTCTATTTACCAGAAATGGCACAGTCTGGCATTTGGATGCCACCTCTTAGAACCAATGAGATGACATTCTGGATTATTAAAATATGTTTCATGCCATGCTGTGGGAAAAGGGGATGTGAGAATTTTATGCGTTAGTAGGATAAAATGATGTTTTTGTACGTTTCACTGTTCTCTTGCAATTAGGAAAGTTGCCAGTTTTGCTACTGCTATGCTTTTAAAATTCTTGATGAAACTTTCAAAACTAAATGAAAAGGGAACACTTAAAAGTAATACTCTGAAAATGAAGGAGGATATAGTCTCATTACTAATAGATTTTTTATAAATGGAAAGATTCCTTTAAAAATATAGTAGTACATATACATTATACATATCTCTGTAAAACAGACTCTGGTAGATGCATTTTAAATGTTAGTCAAATTTTTAATAAAATATAGATAGTACCAAGATACTTATTATATATAGTAGCAGATAATGTTAACCACTTTCTAAATCACCTTATATCATTGTGATTCCTATACTTATGATCATTTAAATCATAAAGAGCTCTTCAACATATTGTCTTTAATCTTAGAACTGTAAGGAAGGCTGAAGGATATTTTCATCATTTTTGCAGAAGAGAAAATGGCCCAGATAAAAATTGGTTGAAGATGCTCCAACCCTCGTCCCTGCTAGTGTGTTCTTGCTCTGCCCTGTCTTCCTGATTCTGGATGCTATCTCTAAATTGTGTCAGGCTGTGTCACATGGGCAATGCTTTTCTTTTTATCTGCGTTGCTTCCATGGGTAACAATGAATAGGAGTCTCTAGGGTGCCCTGCAGAGAGTGCCTGCTTTGCTGTTAAAAGATGCCTATCAGGTAGTGGTTAAAACCACAGACCCCGGAGCCAGCTGCTGGATTTTAAGCTCCAGCTCTACCACTTAGCAGCTGTATGACTTTGGGAAGGGTGACTGTGCTCTGGGCCTCAGTTTTTTTAATCAGTAAATTGAGAATAATGAAAGTACCCATCTCATAGGGATGTTGTAATGAATGATTGAATGAACATGTATAAAGCACAAAGAGTGACCACACTGAGCAAGCACTTCATATGTTGGTCTGTTATTATTATTACTGAAGAGTTGCACTTTTCAAAGTGGATGTGACTTCACTTTTTTTTTTAAATTTATGTTCTGGGATACATGTGCAGAATGTGCAGTTTTGTTGAGCAGACTCATTCGTGATGTCTATAGTGTTAAGAACAGACTTCCCAAAGTCTGCTGGTGTAGTAAATATTTTTTCTTTAGAAAATACATCTCTCACTGACAGAGTCTTTAGGCTCTAATCTCTAGTCTTTAGTCTCAGACTAGATTGTAAACATGGTGTGGGGAATAGAGCATTGATGCAGGAGGCCAAAGGCCTGAACTTTAGTCCCAGCTCAGCGATTAACCAGCTGTGACCTTGGGACAGTCAATTAACCTCATCAGGCTCAGCTTCATTTCTCCTCAGGAGAAGGCAAAACTGTCCACCTCCAACTCTTCTTCCAAAATCCCATACCATAATTGATGTACTTGAGAAGAAGTTCGCTTTAACACAAACATCAGGCAAAGCCCAACTATTTAATCATCCCATATAATTAAAAGCTGCTATTAGAAGGATTTAGCTATTTTTTACAGAGGATAGAATTGGCAAGTGCATATTTAGGTTTTGAGAAATAAAATATTCCAAGCTTTTGTAAAATACAAGTTTCTTCATACACCCTAAGGAAAAAGCATTTACTGGCCTTTCATAAAATAGGTAAATTATCCTTTCTCTGAGCCTCTGCTTTGTAGAATAATGCTCCAGCAATCGTCATAACCCCATATCCACCCATATTGTCCTTTCAAGGTCACACTTTCAGGCACTGCCATGAGAATGGAGAGGAGAGGGAAGAAGCTACTTCTTCCTCTGTCTATGGGCCATAGACACCTGTCCCTGCTTCCCCACACTCAGTCATTCAGCCCTTGGGCCAGTATCAGTATACGCACTTTATCTTCATAACAGTGAACTAAAATAAGAAATAAAAATAGCAGGAAAAGATCTCTGTTGGGCACTGATGTAAATGACAGCTAATGTGTTCCTGCAATCCTCATTTCCTTTTTGTTTTGCCTCTGGAGACTCTTTTTCTCCATCTGCCAGGTGGGAACATCATCTTCAGGATGATGGAAAAGGCAGAAGTAATGTGGGTGACTGATAATTTAACAACAGGCAGATTGCAAGGATGACCCAGTATATTAAAAACCAGCTCACCAAGCATAAGGGTATGTGACTTACTTTACAGAAGACACTTTGCTTTGTAAGCTCTTGTACAGAGGGGGAGATTTTATTTTCACTTCTTTAAGGAAGAGCTTCTTTCCTTGTTTTCTCCCAAGACTAGGAATGCTGGATCTGGGCGGGGTAGGTATTGCAGCAGTGTGCAGAGTCTCAGACCATGGTGATGGAAGAGTTGATGTCCTCAGCACATAAAGAGGAGGATTCCTCACAATAGGAATCTCAACGGACTGCCAGCAATTGCATAGCCAGCTGGTCAGGCTCAGGTTGAGGTACTTGGCTTAACAAGCAAAGTCACTTAATAATGTTAGAAAAGAACCTTGGGTTAAACCCTGGAAAAGTGAGCTTGCAGGTCTGGGTCTGTTTCCTTATTCAGCAATGGGCAGTAAGAACATAGAGTGATGTCACTCAGCACATGCCTGGCCCATAACTGTCTTCTTTGATGCCTGTTTTTTTCTGTTTGTAGGGCCAAGGAGATCTGTTGAAGAATGCCAAGAATGAAGCTATAGAAAACATGAAGCAGATCCAGCTGGCATGCCTGTCCTGTGGACTGAGTAAAGCCCCCAGCAGCAGTGCTGAGGCCAAGAGCAAGCGCAGCCTGGAAGCCATAGAGGAGAAGGAAAGTAGTGAGGAGAATGGGAAGCTGTGACTCTGGGCATTATCGACACGTTCACCCATCTTATCAAGGACTCTGGTTTCTCATTCTTGTTTTCTTTCTTTAAATGTTTTATAAGTTCACAAAATGGTGCCCTATATGGGGTATTGGACATAGATATTTTCACAATGTCAGTATTTCAGTGTAGTTAATTTATCTAAATTAAAGCCTTTAGTATCAGTGTTTTAAATTCTGAGACATGTGTCAACACCCCTGTGTGGATGCCTGTGGAAGAGTGTGTGTGTGTGTGTGTGTGTGTGTGTGTGGCAGAGAGAGAGAAAGAGAGAGAGAGAGAGAAATTCTGTTAAAATCTATTCTGTGTTGCATTATTCATTTAGTGAGTTATTCCTTGATCATTTTGGGACAATTGTTTTAATCTGAAATTCTAAAGAGCACTTACTGTAACCTGTTGCTGTGTTTAATTTGACTTCTCTGCCTTTGACATTTAATTTAGTGATCTTAGCATAGCTTATTATTGAAGGAAGCCAAATTTATCAAAGCATAGATGTTTTGGTAGATTAAATATAGATTAGAAAAATTCCTAAGAATCAGAGTAGAAATAAAAGTGAATGAAAGATTAAACAGATGATGAGAATTTCTAAAAAGATTAGCAAGGTCATTTCTTCAGTCAGAAAACTTTAAAAAATATTTATTAAATAAAATCAATTTTTAGGAAGTTTTCTGTAGTCATTTACTAAACATATGATTTCACTAGAAAAGCTGATCATAAGTGAATTTATACCTACCTGTGTGGTACTCTGAAACACACTGAAAGCTCTGTTGCAATTAGGATTTTGATGTGACAATAATATTGTTGTATAATTTCGAGATTTGTAGGAAGGTCTCATTCTTCCAAGCTGAGAGTCTAGCACTCATTTTCTATAACAGATATGGCAGCTTAGAGGTGTTGGCTTTGTTTGGATGTAATTTAGGGTACTAAATTTAAATTTAAAGATATTGTTCAAACAATATCATATCATCACATTGAGCTGATATAAATTCTGTGGGTCCGATAATATCTTTGTGATAATTTAAGAGCTAACCAGTTACCACACATCTATGATATAACCCTAACACACACAGAAAAGCATACATGCAAAAAGAAATGACTAATTAGGGTACATTTATAATTGCATCTAGGTAATTTTTACCCTAATGTCTTCATAAAGTACTTGAGTGTAATGTTTGTTACCTCCAACAGAACTAAATGTTCTATGGTTATGAAAGAATATATTTATTTAAAGCATTGCTTTTATTTTGAAAAGCTTCTTAATTAATTTGATTAACAAATATGCTAATTTGGGGAAACCTAGAGAAGATAATTGTTGAAATTTTGCAAATATAAACATCTCCTATAGCTTCTGTGTTATTTCTGACTTCTTAACACTATTATGTTTATGTTGCACATTACTGAAAGAGTAAAGATATGAAAAAAACACTTATTGTTTTCTTTTATTGTGAATTGAAAAAGCAAAGCTAATGAAAATGGGTTACTACATCAAAAATATCTTAAAGAGTTTGCTATTTCCATGGACCAGATATGATGAAATTATTCCCTGGGTTTAAAACTGGGCACTCGAGGAGGAGGTACCTGAAGTCATTTGAAGGCAAGTTTCCAATGATGCTACAATGGCCTGAAAAAATTTCTTTACCCTCTGTTATATTTAACTTGCTGGTAGGAGGAATAGTGGAATGCAGGTGTTAAGCCCTTTGTGGTGAAAAAGAGGTTCTATAGACAGAAACAAAACCCACCTTACATCAGCTGATTGGTTGATTTTACTAGTGTACCTCTTCATCTACTTGAATTCTATTTGGTAAATCCATGTCTTTACTGGATATACAGTTAGGTGGGAAGAGGAGATAAAGGATGACAAACTCTCAAACAATATTTATACATTTATTTACTCCAGGGTCAAATCCAATCCTTGGAAGTAGCTTCTCTAGTTTATTTTATTTGTCCCAGAGCTCTACTCACACTTAGGACCCACCCAAAAATTCTCAAAAACGTAATATGGATTCTGCCTCATCTGATGCTATTTCTGGCAGTGGGTTGTCAGCCATACTCTGCTTCATTCCACTGGGTGTCCTTGCTAGATGGGGAGTGAGATGTGGAGCAGGGAGGAGCTTTGGATTCTGGGAGTGGAGGTGGCAAGGGAAAAGTCTCCTAGTCTCCTGTGATGTTCCTGCCTCCAGATAGAATAGCAAAAACAAACAATTTTTTTTTGTGTATTATGCCTCCATGACATTGTTACATTCTATGAGGAGCATCTGTCTCCTTTCTAGACTTGAACTGTGGTAGAAAAAGCCCCCTTCTCTCTTCTATCTACTTAGATTTGGTGATGCTAGGAATGTAGTGTTTTAGATATTAATTCTATTTTTATTTATTCATTTTTACATCACCAATAGGATCTGAGGTGGAGATGGCGGGTATTATCACTGGCATTTTACAGGTGAGAAAGCCCAAAGCCACTGAGGTAATTAATGGAATAATTGATTTTGAACTTGGGTCTGTCTGATTTCATGTGCAAGATTATATACTTAGTGATTTTGATTTTAAGTTTATTCTTAACATTTTAAACCAGACTATTAACTCTTACCTTTATAACCACAGATACAAAGAACTGTATCATTTATTTTCTGAATATAAAATATTAATGGTCAATATAAAAATACAAAAATAGAGAACTATATACAACAGAAAAGCAAAATTACCCACTAATAACATTTTGATTTATATCCCTTTAGACACTGTTTAGAGTTTATACATATATGTAAATATGCTTGTATTTTAACAAAATTGAGATATTATATAAACTGTTTGTAGCAGGGTGTTTAAAATTTTAACAATATGTTATGGATATCTTTCTGTGTCAATAAATGTGTATTTACATTAGAGTTCCAAGCATTTGAACTGAATCTAGTCCAAAAATGATGTGTTTTATTTGGCCATTGAACATTTTTTAAAAAAATCTTTAAGCAATAGACAGCTTTTGAAATTCAGAAAATGTTACGTACAATTCAATGTCCTGCATGTTTTAAAATACTGGATAATCTAACAACACAGAACACCTCCCACTCCCCACCTCACAACCACCACACATATACTTTCTTGCTTGGCATCAGTTAATTGAAACTGCCCTCTCCAAAAGGGGCATATGCTGTCCAATTTTCTAGAGAGCCTTTTCATTCATTTATGTTACATCTGGACCTTAAGGACATGATAGGTGGTGAAACTTGATGAAAATTATCATTTATTGAGAGGCCAAAATGAGAGAATTGCTTGAGGCTGGGAATTGAGACTAGCCTGGGAAACATAGTAAGACCTTGTCTTTAAAAAATAAAAAAAAATTAATGGTCATTTATAATAATTATACAGTATCTTATTATATGGCTTACCAGAATATATTTAACCAATCTCCTATTGCTAGATTTTACTCACCTAATTTCTTGTTATATAAACATTCCAATAATAAAATCCATTTTTGCAAAGTTGTTCAACTTTTTCTTTGGGATACATTTCTAGAAGTGGAATTGTTGGGTCAAAGGATACAGAGATTTTTTGTTTTGTTTCATTTTTGTTTTTTAGGGATTTTGAGATACATTGCCAAATAGTCTCAGGAAAACTTGTTCAATTTAAAACCCCACCAGGAGTTTATGAGAGTGCTTAAATCTTTGCTAATGATAAATTTAATTTTTCTTATTTTCATCTTTGCCAATCTTCTAAGTTACAAAAATCTTATTTCTCTTTATCTTTAATCTCTAATGAGATTGGATGCATATTAATATGTTCATTGACTCTAAATAATCTAATTAAAAGTAAAAACTTTTGTACTCCAAAGGATACTACCAAGAAAGTGAAAATAGAACCCACAGAACAGGTTTGCAGGTCATATATCTGATAGAGACTGGCAACCAAAATTTATAAAGAACTATTACAACTTAATAAAAAGAAAACCAAATTTTTAAAAACTGGTCAAAGGATTGGAATAGACTTTTCTTCCAAGAAAATATGCAAACAGGAAATAAGCACATAGAAACGTGCTGAAGATCGTTAACCACTAAGATCACATAAATCATAGCCACAATTAGATATGACTTCACACCAAATAGGTTGGCTATAATAAAAAAGACAGATAATAACAAGTGTTAGTGAGGATGTGGAGAAATTGGAACCATCCTACCCTGCTGGTGGAAATGTAAAATATTTCAGCTGCTTTGGAAAACAGCTTGGCACTTCCTCAAAAGGTTAAAAAAACATGGAGTTACCATATGACCCAGCAATTCTACTCTTAGATTTCTACCCAAGAGAAATGAAAATATATGTCCACACAAAAGCTTGTACACAAATGTTTGTGGCAGCATTTTTTATAATAGTCAAAAGTAGAAACAATCCAAATGTCTATCAACTCATGAAAGGATAAATAAAAATTACATATTCATACATTGGATTGTTCAACAATAAAAGAAATGAAGTACTGATACATGCTACAAGAGTATACCTTGAAAGCATTATTCTAAGTGAAGGAAATCAGGCACAAAGGCCACATGTTGTACCGTTCCATTTTTATAAAATATCCAGAATAGGCAAATCAGTAGAGATAGAAAGTAGACTAATGGTTGCCAGTGGCTGTGGGGGTCTGGGAGTGACTGCTAATGGGTATGAGTTTTCTTATTGGTGTGATGAAAATGTTCTGGAATTAGAAATAATGATGATGTTTGTTTACATAATTTGTGAATGTACTAAAAGCTATTTAATTGTATATTTTAAAGAGTGAATTTTATGGTATGTAAATTATCTCAGTAAAAGGGTTATAAAAGGAGAAATAAAAAGAATTTAAACAATGAACAGGGTATTAGAGAATAGTGAAATAGCTTCAAGAATCTAATATGTATGAAACTGGAGAGAAGAGCAGGAAAGAAAAATAATTTGAAGAAATAATGGCTAAAAATTTCTCATTTGTAATGAAAACTATAACCTCCAGATCCAAGTGTCTCAAAAATTCCAAGGACAAGAAACATGAGAAAAACAAGTTAGTCTGTTTTCTGCTGCTGTAATAGAATGCCACAGATTGTGTAATTTACAAAGAAAAGAAGTTTATTTGGTTTACAGTTCTGGAGGCTGAGAAGTCCAAGAGCATGGCTTTGGCATCTGGTGAGTGTAATTCCATGCCAGAAGGGCAAAAGGTGGAAGGTCAAGAGAGCCCATATGAAGGAGGTTTTGCTATTATAACAAAGCCACCTCCTCTACAACTACCCCACTCCGATGACAACACCTTTCATGAGGGTGGAGCTCTCATGACCCAATTACCTCTTACTTGGCCCCACTTCCCAACACTCTGGCATAGGGAGTCCAATTAAGTTTCCAACACATGAGTTTTGGTGACACCTTCAAACCATTGCAACAACCAAGGCATATTGTAGCCAAATAGTTCAAAAGTAGTGATAATGAGATAATCTTAAAAGCAGCCAGTAAAAAAAGACATGTACAGAGAAAATAAGAAAGACAGCGTATGTCTTATTGTAAACTGTGCAGATGAGATGCCGGTGGAGCAACTTCTTTAAAGTATTGAAAACAAAGCAAAAACTGTAATCCTGGAATTCTATACCCAGTAAAAATGAATTCTAGAATTCTATACCTATTCAAAAATGAAGGTTATACAAAAAAATTTTCAAAAGCTCAATTCATCACCAGTAGACTTACATTATAAGAAATGTTAAAGGAAATCCTTCAGGCTGAAGGAAAATGATGCCAGGTCAAAATATGGATGTACAAAAACAGATGAAGAGAGAGAGCTAGAAATAGTAACTGCAGGGATAAATATAGCTGGCCCTTTGTATCTAGGGGTTCTGCATCTGTGGATTCAACCAACAATGGATTAAAAATACTTAAAAACTGATAAAAATAACAATACAAAATTAAATACAAATAAAAATACAGTACAATTATTTATATAGCATTTACATTTAATTGGGTATTATGAGTAATCTAGGGATAATTTAAGGTATACAGGAAGATGCATAAAGATTATATGCAAACACTATGTTATTTTATGAAAAAGACTTGAACATCTATGGATTTTGGTATTTGCAAGGGGTGAATGGGGTATTTGCAGGCAGTGAATGAGGAGGCCTGGAACCAATCTTCTGCTGATATTGAGGCACTACTGAAAAAGGTATATTACTTAAATCTCTTATTGTATTGTAAACTGTATAAGTAATGAAATTAAAAGGCAGAAATTGTCAGACTGAATAAAATGAAAAGACCAAACAATATGCTGCTTACAAGAAACACAATTCAAATATAAGGACACAATTAGTTTAAAGGAAAAGAACTGGAAAAGATATACCATGATAACACAAGTCAGAAGAAAGCTGCTGTGGATATATTAATATGAGATGTAGATTTCAGAGCAGTGAATATTGCCAGGCATAAAGAAAGTTATTACATAATAATTAAGGTATCAGTTCATCAAGAAGATGTAATAACCCTAAGTATTTATACAACTAATATCAGAGCTTCAAAATACATGAAGCAAAAACCAGTGGAATTGATAGGAGAAACACACAATTACACAATTATAGTCAGAATTTTCAACATATCTTTCTCAATGGAGAAAACAACTAGACAGGAAATCATTAAGGATATAGATGATTTAAATTATATGATCAACTACCTGGACGTAATTGGCATTTATGGAACACTGCACCACCAACAGCAGAGTACATATTATTTTCAAGTACACAGAAAACAGTTACCAATATAGACCATTTTCTGGGTCATAAAACACATCTCAATAAATGTAAAACAATTAATGTTATATAAAGTATGTGCTCTGACCACAAAGGAATTAGAGATCAATAAAAGAAACATCTTTGAAAAATCTCAACATATTTAAAAACTAAATAACTCACTTCTAAATAACTCCTGTATCAAAGAAGAAATTAAAAAGGAAATTAGAAAGTACTTTGAATTTAAGTGTCAAAACATCCAAATTCATGGGATAACACTAACACTAAGCAAATTTATAGCAGTTAACACATGTATTAGAAAAAAAGAAATTTCTCAAACCAAAGACTTCCATTTTCATCTTAAGAAACTAGAAAAAAAAAGAGAAAATTAAGTTCAAAGTAGAAAAAAGAGAATAAAGATTAGAGTAGAAATCAATAAGATAGAAAACAATAGAGAAAATCAATAAAACAAAAAGGTTGAATTTTTGGGAAGATCAATAAAATTAATAAACCTCTAGTCAAACAAGGAAAAAAGGAACACTCAAATTACCAATATCAAGGTAAGATCAGACATCATTTCAATATTGAATCAAAAAAACGAGTGAGAATACATCACTCCAAATTTTAAGGATATTAAAGGATAGTAGGCAAACATTATGAAGACTTTCTGCTGATAAATTCTACAACTTCAGTGAAATGGGCAAATTCCTTAAAAGACACAAATTGCCAAATCTCAAAATGATGAGTTAAATAACTTGGACAAAAAGTACATGCTGTATGTCCAGTAACATACATTTCTGGAAGCACAAACTAATGAATAGTAACAAAAAGTAGATAAGTGGTTACCTGGGGTCAGTGTGGAATGGGGAGTGTGAGATTACAAAGTGGATAAGGACATATTTGGGAATAATATATGTGCTCATTATCCTGATTGTGGTGGTGTTTTCACATGTTAGACATATGTCAAAATTTAAATTGTATACTTTGAATATGTGCAGTTTGTTTTATGGAATTATATCTCAAAAAAGCTCTTAGAAATACATAGGAGCACCTCTCAGTTAATAATTTTAAGGCAGCTTTTAAAAAATATAATAGTTGAATTTGTCTGGGTGCAGTGGCTCACGCCTGTAATCCCAGCACTTTGGGAGGCTGAGGCAGGCAGATTGCCTGAGCTCGGGAGTTTGAAATTAGCCTGGGCAACATGGCAAAACCCTGTTTCTACTAAAACTACAAAAAAAAAAAAAATAAGTCGGGCTTGGTGGCAGCCACCTTTAATCCCAGCCACCCGGGAGGCTGAGGCAGGCGAATCACTTGAACCGGGAGGCAGAGGTTGCAGTGAGCCAAGATCATGCTACTGCACTCCAGCCTGGGTGACAGAGTAAGACTGGTCTCAAAAAAAAAAAAAAAAAAAAGATAGTTGAATTTTTCTTTTGTCTTGGAATTAGTGAATTCATAGATTGAGCTTTTTTCAGTTTATAGATGTTTTCTTTTTCAAATTTTTATTTTTTTTTGCATGTGCAGTGTGCATGTATGTTTGTGTTTGGAAATTAGAAACACACACTCATACATGCACACAGCACACACATGGAAATATATAAGAATATGAAATATTTGCTTTTGTTGCAGCTGCTCTGGATTCTTTGGGAACAGCTTTGGCCATATCATCATTATATCCTTTCCCTCATCTTTAATCATGTTAATTTTCTTCACTTTTCTTTGAATCATGGGACGTATTCTTGTACCTTTCCTATACAACAAAAATTCAACTTTATACCCTTTTCCTTTATAGTACTTGACCACATTTTGCATGTCAAAGCATTTCTTATTTATCTCCTCATCCAGCTCCTTCTTTTTTCTTATGATTGATTGTCTGAAAATTACATCTTTAATAGTTAACATTTACTATGTCTTCTATATGTGAAGTACTGTGTTCAATGCTTACATGCATAATCTTGCTTAGTTCTCAATACAGCCTTAGAGGCCAGGTGTGGTGGCTCATGCCTGTAATTCCAGCACTTTGGGAGGTCAAGATGGGAAGATTGATTGCTTGAGCCCAGGAATTCAAGACCAGCCTAGGTAACATAGTGAGACCCTATATCTATAAGAAATAAAAACAATTAGCCATGCATGGTGGTGCACACCTGTAGTTCCAGCTACTCAGGAGGCTGAGGTGGGAGGATTGCTTGAGCCTGGGAGATCAAGGCTGCAGTGAGCATGATTGCACCACTGCATTCTAGCCTGGGCAACAGAGTGAGACCCTTGTGAAAGGAAAATATCTTGGGCCCCCCAAATCACTAAGGAAAACTCAAGCTGGAAACTGCTTAGGGCAAACCTGCCTTCCATTCTATTCAAAGTCACCCCTCTGCTCACTGAGATAGATGTTTATCTGATTGCCTCCTTTGGAAAGACTAATCAGAAACTCAAAAGAATGTAACCATTTGTGTATCACCTATCTGTGACCTGGAAGCTCCCTCCCTGCTTCCAGCCTTCCTGCCTTTGCTTCAAGTTGTCCTGCCTTTCCAGACCAAACCAATGTACTGCTTACATATATTGATTGATGTCTCATGTCTCCTTAAAATGTATAAAACCAAGCTGTGACCTGACCACCTTGAGCACATGTCCTTAGGACTTCCTGAGGCTGTATCATGGGTGCATCCTCAATGTTGGCAAAATAAACATTCTGAATTAACTGAGACCTGTCTCAGATTTTCTGCATTCGTATTCTGTTTCAAAAACAAAAAAAAGAACAAAAACAAAAACAAAAGCAATCTTAGAGGTTGGTATTTGATATGTTTTGGCTGTGTCCCCACCTAAATTTCATCTTGAATTGTAGTTTCCATAATCCCCACATGTTGTGGAGGGTCCTGGTGGGAGGTAATTGAATAATGGGTGTGGTTACCCCATGCTGCTGTTCTTGGGATAGTGAGTGAGTTCTCACAAGATCTGATGGTTTTATAAAGGGCTTTTCCCACTTTTGCTTGGCTCTTCTTGCTGGCACTATGTGAAGAAAGACATGTTTGCTTCCCCTTCCACCATGATTGTAAGTTTCCTGAAGCCTCCCCAGCCCTGCAGAACTGTGAGTCAATTAAACCTTTTTCCTGTGTAAATTACCCAGGTTGAGTTAATTTATTAGCAGTGTGAGAATGGACTAATATGGTAAATTGATGCTATGGAGATGCTGCTATAAAGAAACCCAAAAATATGGAAGCAATTTTGGAACTGGATAACAGGCAGAGGTTGGAACTGTTTGGAGGTCTAAGAAGAAGATAGGAAAATGTGGGAAAGTTTGGAACTTCCTAGAGACTTGGAAGGCTTAGAAGACAGGAAAATGAGGGAAAGTTTGGAACTGCCTCTAGACTTGTTAAATGGCTTTGACTAAAATTCTGATCATGATATGGAAAATAAGGTCCAGGCTGAAGTGGTCTCAGATGGAGATGAGAAACTTTTTGGGAACTGGAGTAAAGGTCACTCTTGCTATGCAAAGAGACTGGTGCCATTTTGCCCCTTCATTAGAGATCTGTGGAACTTTTAACTTGGGAGAGATGATATAGGGTATCTGGGGGAAGAAATGTCTTAGCAGTGAAGTGTTCAAGAGAAAGCAGAGAATAGAAGTTTGAAAAATTTGCAGCCTAATGATGTGATAGAAAAGAAACCCATTTTCTGGGGAGAAATTCAAACCAGCTGCAGAAATTTGCATAGTAACCAGGAGCCAAATGTTATTCACCAAGACAATGGGGAAAATGTCTCCAGAGCATGTCAGAGACCTTCACAGTAGCTCCTCCCATCACAGACCTGGAGGCTTAGGAGGAAAAAATGGTTTCATGGGCTTGGCCCAGTGCCCCCCTGCTGTGTGCAGCCTAGGTATTTGGTGCTCTCTGTCCCAGCTGCTCCAGCCATGGCTAAAGGGGACCAAGGTACAGCTCAGGCCATTGCTTCAGAGGTGCAAGCCCCAAGCCTTGGCAACTTCCATGTGATGTTGAGCCTGCAGGTGCACAAAAGTCAAGAATTGAGGTTTGTGAACCTCCACTTAGATTTCAGAGGATGTATGGAAATGCCATTTTTCCTGGACATCCAGGAAGAATCTGCTGCAGGGGTGGGGCCCTCATGGAGCACTTCTGCTAGGGCAGTGTGGAAGGAAAATGTGGGTTGGAGCTCCCACACAGAGTCCCCACTGGGGCACTGCCTAGTGGAGCTGTGAGAAGAGGGCTACCATCCTCCAGACCCCAGAATGCTTGATCGGCTGAGAGCTTGCACCATGTGCCTGGAAAAGCTGCAGACACTGAACGCCAGCCCTTAAAAGCAGCTGGGTGTGGGGGGTGGGGAGTCTGTGCCCTGCAAAGACACAAGGGTGGTGCTTCCCAAGGCCATGGGAGCCCACCTCTTGCATCAGTGTGACCTGGATGTGAGACATGGAGTCAAAGGAGATCACTTTGGAAATTTAAAGTTCAATGACTGCCCTATTGGTTTTCAGCTACAGGTTTGCATGGAGCCTATAGCCCCTTTGTTTTGGCCAGTCTGTCCCGTTTGGAATGAGTGTATTTGCATAATACCTGTAGCCCCATTGTGTCTAGGATGTAACTAACTTGCTTTTGATTTTACATGTTCATGGGCAGAAGGGACTTGCCTTGTCTCAGATGAGACTTTGGACTTGGACTTTTGGGTTGATGCTGGAATGAGTTAAGACTTTGGGGGACTGCTCAGAAGGCATAATTGTGTTTTGAAATGTGAGAAGGACATGAGATTTGGAAGGGGCCAGGGGCAGAATGATATGGTTTGGCTGTGTCCACACCCAAATTTCATCTTGTAGTTCCCATAATCCCCACGTGTTATGGGAGGGACCCCATGGGAGGTAATTGAATTATGGAGATTCCACCCATGCTGCTGTTCTCATGATAGTGAGTGAGTTCTCACGAGATCTGATGGTTTTATAAGGGACATTTCCCCCTTTTGCTTGGCACTTCTCCTTGCTTCTGCTATGTGAAGAACGACATGTTTGCTTTCCCTTCTGCCACGATTGTAAGTTTCCTGGGGACTCTCTAGCCCTGCTGAACTGTGAATCACTTAGAACTCTTTTTCTTTATAAATTACCCAGTCTTGGGTATTTCTTCATAGCAGTATGAAAATAGACTAATACAGTCTTATTATAATTCTCATTTCAAAAGAGGAAACTGAGGCTTAAAGAGTGCTCTGCCTATCTACTGCTCCATAACAAATCACACCAAAACCTGAAGCCCATTATTCTGTTTACAAATCTGCAATTTAGGTAGGGTTCAACTTGGGTGCCCATTTCTGTTCTACTGGCATCACTTGGGGGTAATTTGAAGGAATAAGACTGGAATTATCTGGAGGCTTGTTCTTGCCCATACCTGGCAATAGATGCTGACTGTTGGCTTAGATCTTAGCTAGAAAACCTTTAAGTAGTCTTTGCATGTGGCCTAGGCTTCTTCACAACATAGTGGTTGGGTCCCAAGAGTGAGTGTTCCTAGATAGAGCAAGCCAGGAAGAAATTGTTCTACATATTATGAACTACCTAGCTTTACAAGTCACATAGATCATTTCTATCACATTATATTCATTGAAACAGCCACAAAGGTACACCCAATATCAGGGAGGCGGGTGGGATAAACATTAACTCTTGATGATGTAACAGTGAGGTTCTGGAAGAGTATGTAAAACCAGAAATGTTGTGGTTGCCATTTTTGAAAATTATAGTATTCCACAAATAAATTAAGCAATTTTTATAAGGTCATACAATAATTAATGGCACTGGAATTTCTTATTTCATAGAAATCAGGTCTTCTTAAATTTGAGTATAAAAGAGATGCTAATTCAATTTAAAACTTTTACAAGTGTGACCTTCCATTACTCTTGTTTCTTTATGTTGCATGGTCTTGTATTATAGTATCTTACTTTATATTACAAGATATTTTTGTACGATTCATTCTGAGTTTTTCTGATTACTTTTGTAATGTTTTACCTAAACCTGTTTTTTTCCTTAAGAAATGGCATGCATTTATTCTTGTAGATTTTCTTTTCAGCTTTTATGTAATTAAAGCTCTTACATAAATTTGAGTGAAAAATTAAATATTTGGTCTTAAGCTGCAGGATCTGATGTTATTTATTTAGTGATCTTCTTATGTTAGGGGTAAGGACCCAAAGCATACCAAAGTGTAAGTGTTTCACTTCCTAATAAAAAAAGAACTATATGGTAATAAAGGGGAATGACTTTACATGGTTTTAAAATAAAATTGTGTTATTATTTTTAGAGATGGGATCCAGCTACATTGCCCAGGCTAGTCATGAACTCCTGGGCTCAAGTAATCTTCCTGCCTTAGCCTTCTGAGTAGTGGGGATTACAGGAGCAAGACACTGCACCCAGTGGTTTATTTTATTCCTAAATGGTATAATAATTTCATTTCAGTGGATAGTACCTATGAAATGATTTGTTTTGCAACATTCCTAATGTTTTACAACAGTTTTTAAAATCTTCATTTGGCTACTGGGGAAACCAAAGCATATTTGTTTCTCTAGTAGATCCTAAAAGTTATATTGACTGGCTACTTATTTAGTGAACTTTCATTCATTTACAGGAATTTTAGCAGTATCTTGTGAACAAGATAAAGGAAACCAGAAAGTAAGTCATTCAGAATATCTTTAGGGCATAGTTGATCTCAGTTTAAACTCAAGGAAGTTCTGAGGATGCAATGATAGGCATTTGGATTCCTTTCTTTATCATAGTGATCATAGTGAGCATGTTATTGGCATCATGGTGACATTACATAAAAAATGGTCTTCTAGGCTCTAAATTCTTCCTAAAGTCTTCAAATTTCCACAGGCCCAGATTGGGAAAAATGAATACATATATTGGATATATATATATATATATATATATATATATATATCTCCAATAATATATATTATATTGTAGTCTTATTCTATCTGTGAAATATATTTTTCATAATTGTTTAGAAACTGTGGAAGAAGGACAGAAGTAATGAATGAATATTTTCTTACTCCAAAATGTATTTTAAATCTTAGAGGAGTTGTATATATTCTATTCAATTAGCCTTTCAAGCAAGAGAAATACCAAGCTGTATGGAAATATATATATGAAATATATATACCTATATACATTATGTATACAACGTATATACTTACATTTTAGAAAATAGATATGTAAGTTGGAATATATACTTATAGGAATGTGTATACAGTTAGCCCTCTATATTCATGGGTTCCACATCCTTGGATTCCAATCAACCACAATGGAAAATATTTGGAAAAAAAATTGCATCTCTAATGAACATGTATAGACTTTTTTCTTGTCATTATTCCCTAAACAAGCTAGTATAACAACTATTTACATAGCATTTACATTGTATTAAATATAAGTAATCCAGAGATGATCTAATGTATATGGGAGAATGTGCTTTGGTTACATGCAAATACTATATCACTTTATATCAGAGGCTTGAGTATTTGCACATTTTTGTATTCAAGGGAGGTCCTGGAACCATTCCTCCTCAGTTGCTGAGGGAAAACTGTAGTTTGTTCATTTTTTGTCTGTTGTTTTGTAGATTGGATGCTGCTCTACTGATTTTTTTGTGTCTGCATTGGTCCATTTCCAAATGTGCCACATAAATATTGTCATCTCCTCTGTACTATGTCTTCATAAAAGATAATATATAAATGTTTAGATTTTAGAATTACTAAAGCAAACAAACATACTAACAGCTTCTGACACATTGCTTAGAAGTCCTTTTAACTGTCTTTTATTTATGTAACCACAAATTTCAGCATTTCTCAACAAGGAATTCACAATTACTTGTTGGGAAAAACAAACCATTGACATAGGCGAGAATAACAATAGCTTTTATATAAATATTATACAGCACCTCTTATCTTTAATGAAAGTAATGAGACACAGCTGAATGGAAAAAAGTTCTATTCACATAAAATCTTAAGGGCATTGTAGCTATTCAATGATTAAAAGTTTAGCTCAGTAGCTAATATTAATATTTATATTTTTAAAGTTCTCTTTATCTGTTTTACTTAGAAAATACAGTTGCTAACAATCAGCGCATAGAATATAAGTAATTTGACCTTGCAAGCTGGAGAGTCCAGATTTTAGATTTTCTGCACAGTCTCTCATCAGTATATCTATACTTGAGACACTATGCATTCTGATTTTTCCTTCATAGAATATAAGGAGTTAGGTTAAAAAAAAAAAGCCTAAATAACACATTGAATTTGCAGTATTCCAACCTCTTTGCCATCAAATTTGGGTCAGATTTCAGTGGATAGTACCTATGAAGGCCTGTATTCCTTTCGGCAGAGCAACAGGGGGGCACATGGTAAAAGATCCTGGTTTACAATTATAGCTGCTTATTCCGAATTTCTTCTCTCCCTTCTTGTGGCAGTCTTCTTGTTGCTGCTCCACTACACTTTGGATATTTTTCTTTGTTTCCATGATCTGTTCATTGATTCCCTCTTGTGCTCAAATTTTCAATTAGCCTTTCAAGCAAAAGAAATACCAAGCTGTCTGGAAAAATTTAAAAACATCACTCATAGGCCACCATACAAAAATAAGTCAACACTCTGCATTTGCTCCTCCAACAATTCAAATCCTCTATTATCCTTGTGCCATCTTTATTGGATTTTTGACTCCTATGTGCCATTCTAACTTCTAACTGATTAATTCTTCTAGAAGAAGACATGTTTCTGAACCTGTTCTATGGGCCAGACATTTCATGGTGAACCACCCTGCATTGTGAAAACAAAGGGCTTTCACACTGAAGCTGTGTATTGTAGCAGTCATCAAGTGAGGAGGCTTTTGTTTTGGTTGAAATATCACAATAGAGTTCTTTACTATCAATTTCTCTGTGCCTTCAATTCAATTTAGTTGTGAGGAGGAATTCAACATGACAATTTAAGGAATTATAATTCTGCTACTTTAAAAATCAAATTGCAAGAAAAAATGCTATTAAAATTTGTTTCTATATTTGTTCATTTGTTAACAGTGTCAGATTTTACCAAATTTTGTTTGTAGAGAACATTTTGACACCTCTAAGATTTAAAATAAATTTCTGAGTAAGAAAGTGTTCATTCATTACTTCTGTCCTTCAACAGTTTCTAAATAATTATGAAAAATATATTCCACGAATAGAATAAGACTGGGCTCATTTTTTATCAGTGATAGATTGTGTTCTTTCCTCAAGGTACGTGCAGGGAATGCCTCTTTGTTACAATTTACAAAATAAGGCCTTCTTTCCTTTTTTTTTTTTTTTTTTTGCTTTGAGACGGAGTCTTGCTGTGTTGCCCAGGCTGGAGTGCAGTGGCGCGATCTCAATCTCGGCTTGCTGCAAACTCCGCCTCCTTTCTTAAGTCATAAACATGCCGGCAGTATTCTCTACCGTCATAACTAGAAGAGTTTAAAGTCAAAACATCATGTAAAAAGTCTTGATTTCTCAACAAGTACGTGCCCCTTACGACCTGTCCTCCCCCCAGTCTTCTCCCTCTTACTCAGCTGCATCAACATCTTCCTAGAAGCTCAGGCTAGAATTCCAGAAGGCCATCTTCATGTCAACTCCTCTCACTGCCCATATCCAATCTATGACCAATTTCTGTCAGCACCTCCTCCTAAAGATATCCTGGGATCTTCCTGCTTCTTTCTATCTAGAATTCTGTCATCTACTTGTATCACCTATCATTGTCTTGTCAGGGTTATTGAAAAAGCTTCCAACTAAATTCCCTTTAGTCTGTTTTTCTCCACAGTAGTCAGAGTGAATGAAAGAAATGTATGTATATATGTGTATACCTGTATCTGTCTAACGATATATGTGTGTGTACAGTTGTGTCATGCTTCTACTTAAAACCGTCAAATAGCTTCTGATTGCACTTAAAACCCAAATTCCTAAGCATGATCCTTATGACTTACGAACTCTTGTTCCTGCCTACTTACTGCCTTTAGCGTCTGCTGGTCCCTCTGCCATTGTATTCTAAGCTCAAACCCACCGAGATTATACCTGTCTCTGTACTAGATCTTTTCTCTCCCAGTGACTGGTTTCTTTGTGTCATTCTGGTCTCAAATGTTGCCTTTTTGTAATGACCTTCCCTGACCACACAATCTGAAGTAATGTCCCCAAATATTCTCCAGCTAATTACTGTTTTATTTCTTTGGAGCATTCTGTTTATTTGTTGGCTTCCTTGTTTATTATCTGCCTTCTCCAAGTAAAATATAAACATGCAGAGACCTCATCTGTCTTATTCACCACGCTACCCCTGGCTTCTAGTACAGTACCTGGAATATAGGAAATGTCCTATAAATATCTGATTCATGAAGGTTATAAAGCAACTAACATATAATAAATTAGCTAACAGAAATTACATAAGGAATATCATACTTTGCTTCAGGAAAAGCTGACTTTTACTAAAGGATTCGTTCTGGAATTGTTTAGTCTCCACTGGAATATTTTTGCAGGTACAGTAATTCTACATTTTAAAACTGAACTTCTGGCTGGGCGCAGTGGCTCATGCCTGTAATCCCTGCACTTTGGGAGGCCAAGGCGGGCAGATCACCTGAGGTCAGGAGTTTGAGACCAGCCTGGGCCACATGGTGAAAGCCCGTCTCTACTAAAAATACCAAAATTAGCCAGGCATGCTGGCACACACCTGTAATCTCAGCTACTTGGGAGGCTGAGGCAGAAGAATTGCTTCAACCCAGGAGGCAGAGGTTGTAGTGAGCCAAGATAGTGCCATTGCACTCCAGCCTGCGTGATAAGAGTGAAATTCCATCTCAACCACCTCCCACCCCCGCCAAAAAAACCCTGAACTTCTTCCCAAATGTATCTGTTGTTACTGTGTATCCTATCTCTGAAAAAGGGCATTATTATAATTTGAGTTTAATATAGTAGGCTGCCCTTTGTATAGCAAGGGTAGCTGATGTTTTTCATGTTTATGTATTCAAAACAATGTAATCTCTTTTGCCGTATTTCCAGACTTGGTACCTTGGAATATGGCTAATGTTAGCAAGTGAATTTACTATCATTCTCTAAGGGTCAGCTCTGAGCTTCTAGATTACTTTGGTGAAAAGTGTGACATAGCGAATAATAAAACTCTCTGCCTCTAGTCCTCCCATGGGACAAATTTGGGAGATACTTTTTATGCTGCTCAGGAAGTCCTGGTGAAACCAAACCCTTGCCATCACTGTTGCAACAGCAGTGACTGGCCTATATTGTTGTTGTTTTCCCCCTTTCTTACTCTTCCTGGTGGCTCACTCCTCTGCCCTGGAATCAGCTCTTAATAGACTACTAACACACAGGTCTCGTTTCAGGCACTGATTTGCGGGGAAGCTAAGGCAAGCCAGCTGGTATCAGGAATAGCTTTCGAAAGCAGCTGATTAGGATAGATTCTGCAACACTCACTCACCCGTCAAATAGTAACAAGGACCTTTTGCTAGTGGTAAGTGACTGATTCCTGATGTAACCTGTGGCACGCTGAAGCGTCCCCAAAACAGACTCACCTGGGTAGATTCAGATGAGGTACAGGTGGGAGGCGAAGGATTTACCCACCCAATAGCTCTAGCACCGGAATAGTAGGAGAGTCGTGGTAACTTAAAAGATTATGGCACTGGCTACAAAAGTCCTCAAGAAAGAAAACCACTGGATCAGTTTAGCCAACTATCAACTCAGAGTGATCGTAAAATCTGAAAGTCCTTCAAGGTAGCATTTAAAGAGATTCTCTTCTCATAGAGCCACAGGCAGACTGTGTTGAAAATCAGGCCTGCATTGCAGAGATAAGGGGAGAAAATGCACAGGAGTGACAGGTTTCCTGCGCAGAAAATGAGGACCCTGATAAAGAAGACTTAAGATGGGAATATTTGGATGCATGAGTCCAAAAATGCTAGAGCCTCCAGATTCTTCTGGGCTATCTCAGTCAGCAGAAGCAGCCTCTTTCTCCGTGTCTGGAGGTGGAGAAAGCAGCCTGGAGACCATTACAACCTTGACCTGAGAAAGATGCCATGGGAGGTGAGGCTTGTCTTCCTCAAGATTCATCATCACCTTGCTTTATTCCTCCAGACCAGTACCTGAGGTAAGGGCTCAGCATAGAAGGGAGTAAGTCCCTGCTCCTGGAGAACATAGCTTACTCATGGAGAAAACTGGCTAATGTATACTGGTGAAACCAGGAGAACCCATGTGGGATGGGCTTTTGAAAATGTTGGATCAGGGGAAATAGAATACAGTGTTTGCAGAAGGGGATGTATTGACATGGGGGAGTTCTCCCATAACACAGGTTTCCTGGAGACAGCAAAAACTTGCAGCTGGACATAATGGGCTGCTGCATGACTCCTGGAAGCAGGGACACAATGGTGCCCTACAATTTTAAAAAGGTGTAAATGCCCGGTGGGGTCAGTCTCAACAGTCCCTGCTTTCTCCAAGCAGACCAAGGCAGCTCTGTTCCCAGTGCTTTATCACTGGGAGTTCCACATAAAGTTTTGCTTAGTAACAGCTTTCTGCTGCTGTTAAAAAAAATGAAGAAAGCACTAGATTAAATGCACCCCAAAACCCTTTCCAGACCCAACGCACCATAGACCCTGATTGGTTATGCTCTGGAGTCTGACTGCCCAAGGTCAAAGTCTCGCTTCACATCTTCTGGGCTATAAGAACTAGGACAAAATATTCCACCTGCTTTAGCCTCAATTTGATCTTAAAATTGGGTAATAATTTTATCTACCACATAGTTATTGTCTTAAATTATTAAAAACACACACACATGGTTCTTAGCACAGTGCCTGACACATAGTAAATACTTGATACTTATTAAAAAATATAGAAATGTCTAAAAAATAAATTCCTTTTGCCAGGTTAGATAGGGCATAGGTAAGTGATATAGTTACATCTATACATATTATATAGATTTTTAAACCATACAGCATTTTAAATATCAAATAAAAATATTTAGTAGCTGCATTTTAAGTAGAGCCTAGCAGAATAACAATTTATTAGGCGGAAATTGCCATTTTTACAGTTCAAAAGAGGCTGAAGACAGGCAATTCCTTTTTTTTAAACCTAATATCCAAAATGCAGCAACTTTTGGAAAAGGATGGACCTTCCTGAGGTACAGGCTGGTAGGGGTGCGGCCAATGACTCCCTACCCCTGTGAATGCAGAACTAAGCTACTTATTTCTTGGCGATGACCTCACAGTGTCCACGGACTGCTGATTAGGCCAACTTTCATCACTACTTCCAAACATGAGTTCCGTGATGAAGAACAGAGTTATATCAAGTCAGAATAACTTCCTGGTTCCATGTCTGTGGCAGCAAAACCAGTCAGCTTAATCCTTAGTATGCTTATTTGAAACCCAGATTAAGACAAAATGTGCATGAAGGTAGGCAATGGAGTGGCTACACTTGTACCTACAGGCCTCATGATTGTGTGAATTGCAAAGCTTAGTACTGCTTGTCTTGGGGAAGAGTTAGAGACATGAAAATGAGAAGTCTACTGGTATTTTCAGTGAGAATATTGTTATCCCATACATTATACTTCAAGGTTTAATGGGATTACAATTTAGGCAGTCTGTTGTTATTTTCTCTCATTTTGCTTTTTCACAGTTTATATAACAACTTAAAAGAACATTCAGATAGAAATTTTGTAATGCCTGAGTCACATAGAGACTACTTATATATTCCTTTCATCTTGAGTTTTTCCTTCTCTAGAATTTTACCAGGTAAATATATGAGCACAGGGTTGATGTCTAAAAGGAGTCCTTTCCACTTAGCTTATGTGGTCCCTGGAAATGTCACAGAATCTTTGGACTCATTCCCATGGCAACAGGCAACTCTATCACCAAGGACACTGCCAGCTTTTCTTAAGGTTTGCTCTATATTTGAGATTCAAAGCTATCTGCTTTAATAATATTTATTTTGGGATGCATTATGATGCACCGTGACTGCAGAAATGACTTATTTGTTATACACGCTTGAGATGGGAAGATAATCAATGCCTCTTCACTAAGGAAGCAAAATATGGATTATGTTTAAAGGGCTTTGCTATGCTGCATTATTGGAAGTTTTTGTACGGCTAGGCACTGGAATAAGCTAAAAGAATGGGGATAGATAGAAAATATCAAATTAGGCATTGCTAACTGGAACACACACACATACACACGTGCACGCACATACATACATGCACACCATCAACAGCAAAACAGTAGACATCATAGAATAATAAACAGCCACTGTGCATGCTCAAGCACTAAAGCAGAAGGGTTTATTTTCAGCCATCTTAACTGTGAAATTTGCCATGGAGATAAAAGCTGTATTCAGTGGTGTCTTGTCACCAAGTGTCTGTGCTGTTAGGGATATTAGCAAGGGTCACCAGGGTATGACTGTTTTTCTGCATCTGAGCCCTCATTCTTTTGTCCCATTTTTCTATGATGGGACATGAGGAGAGGAAATTATTGGTGACATCAGTAGATATGATCTATTAAAAGAAGCGTGTCTGGTGAAATGAAAACAAATTTGGAAGGCTACACAAGGGAGACTATGAAAAAAATTAGCAATGCCTCCCCCACTCACAGAGGATAGTTTGGGGTGGGACTTATATAGGTTTAGAAAGATCTCCAGGTAATTCCAATGTGTGACCAAGACTGATTAGCTTAATCACCTTAGAGATTATTAACATTTAACTTGGTAAATGTTTCTTTTTGCATCATATCACTCTGACATATGGGCCTACGTTCCAGTTTTAATCAAGATACACTAGGTTATTTTAAAACTTTCAAGGTATCCTTATCCATATCATCTCACTAAATTCTCAGAATCATCTCATTCTGAGAGGAATGTACTACTTTTTGCCAGAAAAAGAAGCACACATCGTGTAACTCAATGGCACAGTCACATTTGTGGCATACAATCTGATTCTGAAGCTGATATTTTACTATTCCCCACTGTCTTCATCAACGTCTATCAGATTATATTCTCAGAACCTGAGATTAGGTAAAAGGGGATGGCAGAAAGTGAAGGACAGGTTTGGGCATATTAAGGTTGACTGTTTCTCTATGCATTTCTTTCCTAAGGCTGCTGTACAAAGTACCCCAAATAGGGTGACTTAACACATTCTCTTGCAGTTCTGGAGGCCAGAAGTTTGAAATCAAGTCTCCCTGCAATCCTGGCATTCCTTGGCTTGTAGCTGACTCACTCTAGTCTCTGCTTTTGTCTTCATGTAGCCTTCTTTGCAGCTCTTCTATGTTTCTGCTGAAAACCTCTGTATTATTTCTTTTATGGAGACACTTGTCATTGGATTTAGGGCCCATCATAATCTGGGATGGATATCTCATCTAGAGATTCTAAACTAATTACACCTGCAAAGACTCTATTCCCAAATAAGGTCATAGTCTGAGGTTCCAGGTGGCCATGAATTTGGGTGGGGGGGGACACTATTGAACCCTCTATACTCTGCAGTTGAAATTTGGATCTACTAGTCACTCCTCAGTGAGGAAAGCAGTGCTTCTCTCTTGTGAGATTTGTACAGAATGGAAAAAAGGGGTGAGAACAGGTAACTGAGAGTCAGCCTTTCTGGGAGCCCTGGAAAAACCCAGGTAGGTTCTACAGGACATTCTTAGGAGATCTTCTGAAGGATTACAAAACTGTGGAAACCTTTTGCTCTCAAGGCAATTAGTCACTCATGTAGAGTGGCATAAGAAGGCTTGTCTTCCTATCTATGCTTGTTGGTTTAACAGGAATTACTGGGTACAGTATTTGCTTTTTTTTTTTTTACAAGCATTAAACAAAATTTGGGGGCACAGAGAAAAAGCCATGGACTCTGATCTGGAGGAGTTGACAACTTGGAGTGTGAGGTAACCTTATCTCCTACCAGAGGAGCTAAAAAGGCTTATGGGAATACCAGCTAGCTTGTCAGCTAATGACAAGAGTTCCTAATAAAAATAAATAATCCATGAAGGAAATGGGCAAAGACTTTGACCAGGCAAAGAGAACCAAAACCAGTGTCAAGGTACCCTGGGGATATCACACTGTACATTTGCAGAAGGTTCTTTCCACAAAGGATGGATCTGGGGCACATGGAGGGGAAGTGATGTCCCTTGTTCCCTGGAATGTAGCAAGCATTCAAAGGTGTTGGTGGGTGGGAAGAAATCTGTGACTATTCCCAGGAGGAGCTGCTTTATACAGACAGGTGTTTTCTGGGAGGTGATGGAGGTGGAGAAGGTGAAATTGCCTTGGTTAATTGGAAACACTGAGTCTTACACAGAATTTAATGCCCGCCGAAACTTATAGAGTATACGAGGTAGAATTTCACCTGTTGTCAATCAAGTTTAGGTAACCCATTGAAGTATGTTTTCTAGAGAGTTTCAGCAGCTTATGGGTGGTCTTGTAGGGCTTGAATGTGTACCAGTTGTGCCTGGGTCCAGTGATCTTTCTCCACTCTACTTGAAGAGAAGTGTGTGTGTAAACCATGATTCTTCCTCCTCAAAACCTCTTGCTTATTCAAGTTAAACCAAAGTTTTGCTTTCAAGAGATTTTAGAAAGAAAAGCCATAACTTAAGAATACATTTTTTTTTCCAGAAAAGCTTGTTCTTTTATTTCATTATTTGCAAGTAAAGCAAATACAGGACCTTAAAAGTCACTTGTAGCTAAGGAAACACCCTAACCTCACTATGTCTACCATGTTTCCCAAGGCGTCTTTCTTGGCCTTCCCGCCCCCTTATAATTCTCTACTTGGACTATACCCTGTGGCTTTCCTTGTGCCTATTCATTTGTGCACGTGTTCCTATTTGCCTATAATGGCATCCTGTTTTAAGATCCTTGTAGAGACTGAGACTAAATCAAATGAAACAGTTTAAGATAATGGTGTTAGTTCAAACAGTACAGGTTTTTCCACTGGTGCATTTAATTACCGTATTAGGATTCAGAGCTGGTGGTGAATACATTTTATTCCTAATTAAAATACACCCAGGGAAAGTGACATTGAAAGGATTTGACCCAATTCACTTTGGAAATCTTCTGTTGAGAAACCTTAGAAGACTCTCAGTGTTGAATATTCAGGGCCAGAGGTACTATATCAGTATTTTGTTTCTTTGCGTTTTTGTCTATGGGAATATCTATAGATGTCAGGAAGTAGTACAGGTGTCAGGATGTTTCTTCAGCTCCACAGCTTATGAATATACATGCAGGTCACGTTAAACAAAATAATCCATATTTTTATCCCTCTAACCCTCATAGCTGACATAGGACTTGCAGTCCCACTTAGATGAAAACCTCACCCAGTTATGGGTTGAGAGTCCTCAGGGAACATCTCACCTGCTCACAAATACCTTTCTCAGACTGTCTTCCATTGTGACCCCTCTCCAAGAATTTGTTTGGGAGTAAGAGGTGACCTAGTGATTGGAACAGATAATGTCATGGTCACAATAGTATATATATAGCAGTGGTTACATTAATTTGGTATGAATTTCTTTCTGGAAACCAAAACTTAGTTTGAGTTACATAGGATATGGTGTAAGTACAGCTTTCTTCATCCAAAAATATTCTGGTTAATTTAAGAAATGTGTTATGTGTTGTAAGTCTCTAACTTCATGTATAAATTTCATAACCTCAGTATTTCGATATTTGGTATTTCCACATTTAAAACATTACTAAAACACAAATTAATTTTGCCTTAAAGTTAAAATAAGAAGAATATATTTAACCTTGTAGATGTTGTTAGTATCTGAAGCCAGGTTGAATCTTGTATTGGGAGGAAAGTAAGATGGCTGAAAATCAAGACATTGATTCTTAAATCACTATTTATCAGCTCTCCTTTTAAAGTTGTTTACAGGCCAGACACGGTGGCTTATGCCTGTAATTCCCACATTCTGGGAGGCTGAGGCAGGAGAATTGCTTGAGCCCAGGAGTTCAAGATCAGCCTGGGCAACAAAGTGAGACCTCTACAAAAAATAGAAAAAATCAGCCAGGAATATTGGTACAAGCCTGTAGTCCCAGCTACTGAGGAGGCTGAGCTGGGAGGATTGCTGACGCCCAGGAGATTGAGATTGCAGCGAACTGTGATCATGCCACTGTATTCCAGCCTGGGCAACAGAGTGAGACCCTGTCTCAAAAAACAAAAACAAAAACAAAAAACAAAAAACAAAAAAAAAAAAACGTTGTTAACAATCTTTACCTTTATGCTACTCAAGGGATTTCTAGAATTCTGATGTTTACCTTGCATAATTTATTGTTACAAAGACATTTTGACTTATGTTTGATCTTTATCATGCTCTTCTGGAATAGAGAGAGCCATGGGTGTCACCCTTCTTTTCCATTTGAAGACCTGGAGGCTCAGGAAGGCACTTAAGTGTCTAAGATCATACAGCTTTTGTGTGGCAGAGCTGAACTTTGTAGCCAGGTCTCCCGGCTCCAGCCTTGGCACATTCCCTCATGTGTCCCTTAGTGGCGTGAGAACAAGTGTCCCTGTTCCTGTGTACTTGGCATCAGGGATTCTTTCTATGGCCGTGTCTAGCCTGGGCTGCCCAGGAGAACACATGGCAGTCTCATTTCATGGCTTTCTGGCTTGCAGAAAAGAAATTGACTTTTGAGAGCCTATGATGTGCCAAGCATCAAACAGTTCTCACAGCTACTCTATAAAGGTAGGTATAATCACCAGTTTTTACCGACAAATTTTAGATTTGAAGAGGTTTAACTTGCCAAGCAGCTCATTTAGATGATGGGAAAGTCAGGATTTAAGTCCAGGTCATCTTGTTGTTTCTATTGTATCAATTGCCTTCTGATTATGTCTAGAAAGAATAGGCAAGGAAGCAGGAAAAGAGTCATGGAAAAAAAATACTGTGCTCAAAATGAGGGGAGATGGGAGGTTCTTCATGCTTATATGAACTTCATTTAGTGAGGGTTAGATACCGGGCTAGTCTGAATACGAGGCAGAGATGTAACTGTTTAACTTGTGTGACTTGAGAATCCCTGGAGGACTCCTAAACAACCTGAAAATGTTTCTCTCACCAACATGCAGGAAACTATATCTTGTAGTCCTTTTTAAACAATCAAAATGCTCCTGCAAGGATCATATACATTAGGGTTAATTTGTTTAACTAGAGATTGATATAAGATTCAGTAGCTCTCTGCTGTATACTCTAATTAAGATCCTCCAGGATGAAAAACACACAGCAGGTGTACTGGAAAGCAGTCGGTGAACAGGGGCTGATGTGGACAGAGTAGGCTGAAGAGGGGCCTCAAAGAGGAAGATGATCTGTAAGCTGGCAGGGACCAAAGCCCCACATGAAGCTGTGAAAGTGACAAATGGAGAGGAGAGAAAGTTCCAGAGGCCCATTTTTGCCCATTTTTTACCATGTGTTCCACTGCTACTGTTACTTACATTTGTCCCCTGCTTTCATTTCTATGAAAATTCTACAAGTTTTCCTTTGTCATTAAAAGCAAGGGTATTTTATTTTTGTAGACCAGCATTTCAAATATTCTGTGAATTCTGATTCATTATTTTTCCACACTCTGCAAACAGTACCATTCAACAGCAAAACATTATCACTTGATTAATAAAAGCTTACTCCTGACAGTTCATTTTTGAGAAATACCAACTCATAGTCACTTGTCTCTATTCGTGATCCTGCAGCACACTAACTTTTTTGCTCTCAGTATTTGGCAAAATCTTACTATTGCAGCAACTGTTCCCCGAAATTCTCCTGTTGTTCGTCACAGACCTGACAGCCCACGTTCCTCCTGCTGCTCTTGCTGACACCCGTTTTAAGCTTGGTGCACCATAAATAGGATCCTCAGCCCCTGCTGGCTGCCTCATTATCTTCATCCGATTTCTACTCCTTTACACCTATCAGGTTTTCTATAGCCAGTCAAGCATACCCATAATTAATGAGTAGTTTTCTACTTTCTCCTTCTGCATATAATATACAGTTTCTTCCTAACAGGTCAGGTATGTGGTTTTACTTTTTAATTTTTCCTTTTTAGCTAGCTCAGAAATCTGCCATCCAACGTCATCACTCACAATGTGACAAGGCTTGGAAACCTTGGGCAGCACATGAAAGGGACAAAAGATAAATTAGTGAAGTTGATCTGTCTGTAATTAGAGGACCTAATTTCTTTTCTCTTGTCTTGTGTTTACAGCTAGTGAAAATGGTCAAGAGACCACATTTATATTTTGCACACTGATTTGTTTTGGCATGTGTTTTTTAATGATAAATGAACATAGTATAATTATCTCAAGTCACCCTGAGTCTACAGAGACCCTGTGATCCAGATGACAGCATCTAGCCATTAGCTCCTTCAGGGTCCACCTTAGCTGCAGAAGGGTACTCAGTCTATGCTGACCCTTTCCTGGTCAGCCGCATGTAGTGAGTCAGTGTGGCAGGGGTACAAAGAACCAACTGTCTGGTACTCACTTGGGATGTACTTGCCAGGGACACCTCAGAGTTCCCCTCCAAGTTGACCAAGGCTTTGCTGACCTTGGCCACAGTTTGATTATCCTTCTGCCACCCTATTTCGGTCCTGTCCCTTTCTTTCACAGGCTGGTTCCTCATAAATGTCTTGCCCCCAACTCAGTATCAGTATCTGCTTCCAGATAATCCAACCTGTGACAGTGAATGACACTATTTATTTAAATAAGTCTATGCTTTCTGGCTTCTTGGAGTCTCAAAAATAGAGGTACCCAGATTTCTGTTAGGATTTCTGAGACGCTCCACCTGGGCCAGGTCAGGCAGTCAGGGTGGAAGGGGAGGCGTGGAAGGCAAGGATACAGGCTTATTCCTGGGGAGGCCTGTGGCTCTGGCTCTGATGACTGCAAAACTCCTCTGTGAAGAGGCAGCTTGTGTCTTCCTACCTAGCCCCACTCCAAGATCAGAGCATGTGGGATTAAAACATGGCAGGCTGTTACTTACTGTCCGGTGTCAGTGGTTAGACTTTCCACAGTGCAGCTCCTTCCTGTCATACAAGAGAAGGTAGAACATCATGGTGGAATGTGCAGGCATTGGACTCAGTGCAGGTCTGGGCTTTTGATAGCTTTATTGAGAGACAATTAACTTATAATAAACCACATATTTAAAGGGTTTGACATATATAGCATTTAAAAAACTGGTCTGTTTCCTGTGTGTGTGCATGCGTGTGTCTACGTGTGTGTACACACACATACCATTATCACAATCAAGATAGCAAACATATCCATCATCTCTAGAATTTCCTCTTGACCATTTGCAATCCTTTCCTCTGCCTCTCTGCCCCAACCCCCATCTCCAGGCAACAACTGATTTGCACTTTGTCATTATAAGTTTTCCTTTTCCCACAACTTTATATAATTGGAATCATTCAATATGTACTCTTCATTTTTGTCTGCCTCCTTTCACTCAGCATAATTATTTTGAGATTCATTTGTGCTGTTTCATGTATCAATTATTCATTCCTTTTTATTGCTGAGTAAAATTCCATTCTATAGATTTACCACAATTTCTTGATCCATTCACATATCGAAGAACATTTGGGTTGTTTCTGGTTGTTTTTTGGGGGGCAATTATGACTAAAGCTGCTATAAATATTTGTGTTCATTTATTTCGGGACAGATCAACAATTTTTTTCTGTAAAGGGACAGATTATAGATATTTAGGCTTTGCTGGATATATAGTTTCTGTTGCAACTCCTCAGCACTTCCCCTGAAGTATAAAAAGAACCACAGTCATTACATAAATAAGTGTGGCTGTGTTCCAATACAACTTCATTTTCAAAAACGTGTGACTCTTGCTTTATGGTAAATACTTTCGAGTGGAATTGATGGGCCATATGGAAAGTGTATGTTTAATTTTATAAGAAACTGCCAAACTGTTTTCAAGAGCAGCTCTATTTTGCAATCTCACTAGCAACATGTGAGAGTTCCAGTTGCTCCTCATCCTCATCAACACTTGGTATGGGTAGTTCTTTGTTATGTATTTTTTATATTTAGCCCTTCTTATAGGTAAACATTGGTCATCTTTGTGGTTTTAATTTACATTTTTTTTTTTTTGAGACAGAGTCTTGCTCTGTCACCCAGGCTAGAGTACAGTGGTGCGATCTTGGCTCACTGCAAGGTCCGCCTCCTGGGTTCGAGTGATTCTCCTGCCTCAGCCTCCCAAGTAGCTGGGATTACAGGAGCCCACCACTGTGCCTGGCTAATTTTTGTATTTTTAGTAGAGACAGGGTTTCACCATCTTGGCCAGGCTGGTCTCAAACTCCTGACCTCATGATCCACCCACTTTGGCCTCCCAAAGTGCTGGCAGATGTTTCATGTGCTTTTTGGCCATCAGTATATCTTTAGTGGAGTGTTTGCTCAAATTTTTGGTACATTTTAAAAAATTGGTCTGTTCCCTGTTTGTTGGGTTTTGAGAGTTCTTGAACCTGGATACAAGTCCTTCATCAGATATATGGTTTGCACATATTTTCTCCCAGTCACTAGCTTATCTTTTCATTTCTTAACCTTTTTCAGAGCAAAAAAGTTCTAAATTGTTATTGTCTAATATGTCAACTCTTTTTCTATTATAGACTGTACTTTTGTTGTTATATCTAAAAACTCTGCCTGGCCAAATGTCACAAAGATTTTCTTCTATATTTTCTTCCAAATATTTAATACAATTTTATTTACTATAATCCTCATTTTGTACATTAGAGCTCTAGACTTGTTTATCATACATATGTGTTACTTCATATCCTTTGATGAAATCTGCCTATTACCCCCTTCCCATGATAACCATTGTTTCTTTATCTTTGCATGTTCCATAATTTTTTTATAGATTACACACATAAGTCAGGTTATACAATATTTTTCTTTCTGTGTCTGGCTTATTTCACTTAGCATAATGCCTTTCAGTTTTATCTATGTTGTGGCAAATTGCAAGATCTTCTCTTTCAAGGCTGGGTAATACTCCGTTGTACATATATGCCACATTTTATTTATCCACTCATCTGTTGATGGACACTTAGGTTGGTTCCATATCTTGGCCATTGTGAATGATGCTGGATTGAACATGGAAGTGCAGATATCTTTATGAGGTGGTTATATAATCTCCTTTGGGATATACACAGCAGAGGAATTGCTGGGTCATATGGTGGTTCTACTTTTAATTTCTTTGGGACCCTTTATACTGTTTCCATAATGGCTGTACCAATCTGTATTTCCACCAACAATATTCCAGGGTTTCTCTTTCTCTACACCCTCACCAACATTTGTTATTCCTTATCTTTTTGATTATAGCCATCCTAACAAGTGTGAGATGATACAGTGGTTTTTACTTGTATTTCCCTGATGATTAGTGATGTTGAGTACCTTATGTATCCGTTGACAACTTTTATATCTTCTTAGGAGAAATGTATGTTCAGGTCCTTTGCCCGTTTTTTAATCTGGTTATTTGTTTTTTGTTTTTTTGTTGTTGAGTTGTAAGGGTTCTATATACAATTTGGATATTAACCCCTCATAAGATATGTGATTTGTGAATACTTTGATGTAGTTCCATTTATTTATTTTTGCTTTTGTAGCCTGAGTTTTTGGTGTGTCATCAAAAAAATCGTTGCTAAGGCCAGTGTCAAGGAACTCTTCCCTTGTGTACTTTTCTAGGATTTTTATGGTTTCAGGGCTTACATTTAGGTCTTTTATTCATTTTTGAGTTGATTTTTGTGTATGGTGTAAGATAAGGGTCCCATTTTATTCTTTTGCATGTGCAGATTCAGTTTTCCCCACACAATTTATTGAATACACTATTCTTTTACCACTGTGTTCTCTTGGTACCCTTGTTGAAAATTGACTATTTATGTTTGGATTTATTCTTGGGCTCTCTATTCTGTTTCATTAGTCTATGTTTCTGTTTTTATGCCAGTACCATACTGTTTCGATTAATGTAGCTTTATGATACAATTTTAAATCAGGAAGTATGATGCCTCTAACTTTGTTTTTCTTTTACAGTATTGCTTTGACTATTCAGGTTTTTTGTTGTTGTTGCTGGCAGGCAGGGTCCTATACAAATTTTAGGATTGCTTTTTCTATTTCTATGAAGAATGCCATTGGAATTTTGAGAGAGATTACACTGAATCTGTATATTATGTTCAGTAATATGAATATTTTAACAATATTCTTCTGATCCATAAACACAGTATCTCTTTCAATTTATTTTTATTTTCTTCAATTTATTTCATCAGTGTTTTGTAGTTTTTAGTATACAAATTTTTCACCTTGGTTGAATTTATTCCTAAATTTATTTTTTAATTACTTTCATAAATGGGATTATTTTCTTGATTTCTTTTTCAACTAGGTCTAATTTGCACACAGAAATGCTACTGATTTTTGTATGTTGATTTTTATACCCTGCAACACTCGTGAGTCCATTTAGTAATTCTAAGATTTTTTTGTGAAATCTTTAGGGTTTCTATATGAAGAAACATGTAGGATCATGCCATCTGCAAATAGAGATGATTTTATTCCTTCATTTTCAATTTGGATGCTGTTTACTCGTTTTCTTGTCTAATTTCTCTTGCTAGCACTTCCAGTACTGTGTTACATAGAAATGGTGAAAGTGGGCTTCCCTGACTTGTGCTGGTTCTTAGTTAAATATCTTTTAGTAGTTCCCTATTGGTTACTGTGTTAGCTGTAGCTTTTTAATGAATGCCTTCATTATGTTAAGAATCTCCCCTTCTATACCTAAATTGTTCAGAGTTTTTATCAAGAAAAAATGCTGAACTTTGTCAAATCTTTTTCTGCATTAAGTAAGATGATCATGTGGTTTTTATCTTTCACTCTATTAATGTGATGTATTACCTTGATTGATTGCATTTGGTAAACCAGCCTTGCATGCCAGGGATGAATCTTACCTGGTCACAATGTATAATTTTTTTCATGTGTTTTGAATTCAGTTTGCTAATATTTTATTGAGATTTTTTGCATCAGCATTCATCAGAGATATTGGCCTGTAGTTTTCTTGAAGTATCTTTGTCTGGCTTAGGTATCAAAGTAATACCTAATTGTTTAGGTATTACTGGCCTTGTATATGTGTTTGGAAGTATTCCCTCTAGCTCTGTTGTTATGAAGAGTTTAAGAAGTATTAGTGATAATTCTTTTTAAAATGTTTGGTAGAATTCAGCTATATTCATCTTTGGTTTTGAAAGATATATTCAATGAGTAAAGAATTCCAGTTGCCTACTTTTTTTTCTTTTTGTAATTTCCAGATGATCTTCCACTGTTTTCTAGCTTGCATTGTTTCCCACAAGAAATATACTGCCACTCTTATCTTTGTTCCTCTGTACATAGCATATCTTTTAAGATATGATACTTTTAAGATTTATCTTTATCACTGGTTTTAAGAATTTGATTTTGATATGCCTTGGTGTAATTTTCTTCAAGTTTCTTGTACTTCAGATTTGTTCAGCTTGTTGGTATGATCTGGGGGGTTATACTTTTCATCAAATTTGGAAAAATTTTGACCATTATCTCTTAAAATATTTTCTGTCGCATTTTGCCCTTTAAGGACTCCAATTACATATATATATATATTTAGCTGCTTGAAATTGTCCCACAGTTCATTGATGCTGTTCATTTTTTTTTCAGCTTTTTTCCCTTGCTATTTCAATTTGCATGGTTTTTATTGCTATCTCTTCAAATTCACTAATCTTTGTCCTGCAACGTCTAACTGCTATTAATGCCATCCATGAGGTTTTCATCTCAGACATCTCTAAAAGGTTCAAACTGGGTTTTTTTTTTGTATCTTCCATGTCTCTACTTAACAAGTTTAATCTTTCCTGTAATTTACTGGGCCTGTGGAATACAGTTACAATAACAGTTACAGTACATTTACAATAATAAAATAATACAATAATACTGTTTAATGGCTTTATCTACTAATTTTATTTTCTATATAATTTCTGGATCCATTGTGATTAATTGATTGTCTTCTTATTATGGGTTGTATATTTTTGCTTTTTTATCTGCCTGGCAAGTTTTGATTGGATGCCAGAAATTATATATTATATCTTTTAATAATATATAAAATGCAATTTATATATTTTAATAATTACTGTTTAATGGCTTTATCTACTAATTTTATTTTCTGTATAATTTCTGGATCCATTGTGATTAATTGATATTCTTCTTATTATGGGTTGCATATTTTTGCTTTTTTATCTGCCTGGCAAGTTTTGATGGGATGCCAGAAATTATATATTATATCTTTTAATAATATATAAAATGCAATTTATATATTTTAATAATTGTATATTATTTTTGTATTCCTTTAAATATTCTGCACAATTTATTCTGCAATATTCTGCAGTGCAGTTAAGCTTTTTAGAAACTGTTAGATCTTTCTGTGCCTTGCTCTCAAGCCTTGTTATAGTGTTTAGTCTAGGGTTAACTTTTTCCTACTACTTAAGCAAAAGACTTTTTAGTTTTCTAACCAATGCTCCATTAATGATGAGGTTTTCCACTCTGGCTTTGGAGCAGGAGCTATTCTTGATCCTATGTGGTCTTTAGGCACTATTCTCTCCAATCCTTTCCAGTTACCACCCCACCCCCTACCCCAGCCAAGACCTCAGGTTGTTTCCTTAAATACGTGTTCTCATCATTACTCAATTGAATACTTGAGGGGGACCCTTAGAATTCTCTCTCTGTGTAGCTATGACCTTTCTAGTACCATGTCCTTTGAATTTCAGCTACCTTGTGCTCCTTAGATTCCCAACCTTGTATATCTTCAACACAAAGAGATCACTGGCTCTGCCTCGGTTCCTGCTCCCTACATCACAGTCTGGAAAAAACTTTCTTTAGGCAGTAATCTGGGGCACTCATGGGGCTTATCTCATTTGTTCCCCATCTCTTATGTATCACTGTTCTTTGTTACCTGATGTGCAAAGTCATAGGAGATGTGCAATGTTTAATGTCAATGTTTCATATATATATGCATATTTTGGTTTTTTAGTTGTGTCACACAGGAAGATAAATCTGGTCTCTGTTACTTCATATTGGTCAGAAGTGCAAGTGCAATATCTGGGCTCCATTCCTCTCCTATTTCGTTTTCTTTTCTTTACTAACAAGTCTTGAATGCTGCCATAGTTTTAGAGATGGAACTGGAAGGACATTGTGGAAATAGCCTCTGGCCTCACAAACAGGAGAATGTGTTTGGCTAATTTGTAAGGCTCTAGTATGGCAAGGGCCAACCTTCTTGCAGTTCAAACCTTTCCCATTTGGCCTAATGCTGTGGGCTCTGACCTTGACCTTTATCTCTTTGGAGTTGCTGCCAGGCTATAATCCTATCCAAGACTGACATAGGTGTGCTCATGTTGCTGACAGAACTGTAAGTGAGCAAGGTTCTATTTGGTTTCTCCGGAGGCCTCTCTCCCTGGCTTGCAGATGGCCACCTTCTTGCTGTGTCCTCACATGACCTCCTCCTTTGTTGACTGTATAATGAAACATGTGGTGATTCTGCCACATACAGTGACTATGTATGCACATCCCTGGTGTCTCTCCTATGCCGGAGTCTCTTCTTCTCATAAATACACAAGTCAGATTGGATTGGAGCCCACCCTAATAACCTCATTTTAACCTACTGACCTCTTTGAAGGATCTGTCTCCTAACACAGTCACATTCTGAGGTGCGGGGGGTTAGGGCTTCAACATATGAATTAGGGGGAGACATAGTTCAGTCCACAACAAGCAGAATGTTGATCTTTGTGATTCTGTATGATAGATACATGGGAGTTCATCATATATTTCTCTCTACTCTTGTTTTATGTTTGAAATTTTTCATAATGAAAGAGTTAAAAAATACTGCATACTTGAGCTAACACATGGAAAAATTTTGCTGAAACAAATATTTCTTCATGAAAATGTTTTGTTTTATTTATTGTCCTCTTGTGACATGCTCAACACACTTGCATATACATACATTCACACCCACCAACACACATACACACTCCTACACATAGCATTGTAACCTTAAGCACTCTAAGTTCTTGGAGCGCAGTTACCTCTGTCCTATGTTTATTTACACATACCCACTTCTTTTATTGCTTTTATCATATTGGGCCATGACTGTCTTTCCAAGTATACTGTAAGAGCCCTGAGCAAAAATTGTGCCATTTTTCCTTGAATGTTTAAAACTTAGCACCATATCTAGCATGAAGCAAAAACTCAATAAATGTTAGTTGAAAGAATAAATAGAATGCAAGATTTCCTCAATAATTACTGCTGATATTTACCTGATTCGCAGAGATAGCTTGATCTCTTGGTTGGTCTTCCATCTCAATTAGCATTTGTCTCCTTCTACATAATTCACAACAGCAAAACAAATAGATCCATAAAAAAAATTTTTAGGACTCAAACGTCAACTATTATTTCTATATTTATAGTACAGAAATTTAACATTTCTTAAGATTTTTTAAGCACCATATCTCAAGTACTATCAAAACTGGCTTTGACAACAATAACCACAATGGTAGTTAGCATTTATATATTGAAAAGAGATTGCACATATTTTTCACATATTTCCCATTTGAGCCCCTGGGTGGCAGGCAGTGTGGGTGATAGTATCTTCCATGCAGGGGTGAGGAAAGGAGCTCCTGGGCCAGCAACTTGCCTCCGCTCCCCCAGGTGATGTTTGCAATGCCAAGTGCCATGGCTTCTGACTCCAACTCCAGTGAACTTCCCTGTGGATATGTTCCCTTCATGATGGAACAATCAATCGTAACTCATATTATTTTGCTCTTTCTATATTACAAAAAGCTATGGTTGAATGATTATACCTCTGGAAATGACCCCTTTTAAATTGCTGTCAGTTTCTGTTAAATGTTACTGCTTCAAACTGGCACTTTCATCTATCAATACCAAAACCTACTTTCATGTTTAGCTGATTGTGTTTAATTTCTGAAGTGCTGAGTCTTATGATGTTTTTATATTTTTGGGAAGATTGAATTTATAAAATGGACACACAGGACAACTTTATGCTGTGTAGTATATTTTGCTTTTTAATGAAATAGGCACTTTTAAGTATCATCTTTGTTAGGAATACTGCTTTCTCGGGTCTATTAATTATCTTGATATGAACTGAAATACAGTTCATTTCAGAGAAACGCTGGGCTATAAATAAGGAAAATCTTTTCCATGAACTTTTTACCTTCAAATCTTTCCTCTGAAATATACTTTCATCATTTTAGTTCAAGAAACAATTTAAATGTACTCCAAGAGTTCAGAATGATTTTTCCCCATAGACTAGAATACCAAGTTCTCCTTTCTCAAATACCATGTGCGACAGGATGAGGTATTAGTAAAAAGAAAATAAAAACTGTTATTCTCCTTCTTGTGAACTATTTCCTTTCACACCCCACCCCCATCCCAGAAAAGAGAAATCTGACCTTGCTTCCTGGAGGCAGGCCTCCTTTCCCTCCTGCCATCCTTACCTGTCAGCCTTCTGGGTGGAGCAGTTAAAGGGTTTCTAGATCACTGATTTGGATTAGCGTGGATTGTCCCAAAGGTAAATGGCTGACGGTTAGATAAAGCAAGGGTGGACAAACCCAAGAGACAGAAAGTCATCTTCAGAAAAAGGGAGGATGATGGGGACTGAGGGTTTCCTTCAGTGGCAGCACCAGGCCCAACTTGCGTGCAGTGGGCAGATAAGGGATGGCTGGACAATGGCTGTGGCACTGGACACCAAGTGCCTTGAGAGCATCAGTGAGGGTCTCTGTGGCCATGCATGAGGTTGAGTAGACAGCTGTAGAAAGGGGTGCCTATAAGTGTACTCAGACAGCACACTCAAGGGATAGGGCCAGGCCAGGCACAGCACAGCCGTGTGGGGTTGCAAAGAGAGTGGCAGCAAAAATGACAATCACCATGGACTACCAGTGTCCTGCTCTGTTTATATCCTATCCATTCACTCATTTATTGTTGGTCTACCTCTCTGGTAAGTTTCTCATTATTTTTTGATTGTATAATGAATGATTCAGTGAGTTTTCCAGCTATTATTTAAAGCTCCTCGATTCTTATAACAGAGAGGGCTCCAAAACATGTCTAGTTCAAATTTCTTGCCACCCTGTGATTCCTGTTGCTGTGGTTTGGATCTGTGTCCCCACCCAAATCCTATGTTGAATTGTAATCCCCAATGTTGAAGGTAAGGGCATGGTGGGAGGGAATTGGATCATGAGGTTGGTTTCTAGTGGTTTAGCACCATCCCCCTAGTGCTCTTCGCATGATAGTGAGTTATTGTGAGATCTTGTTGTTTAAAAGTATGTAGCACCTCCCCACTCTCTCTCGTGATCCTGCTCCACCATGTAAGATGCCTGGCTCTCCATTCACCTCTGCCATGATTGCAAGTTTCCTGAGGCCTCACCAGAAGCTGAGCCAATTAAATCTCTTTTCTTTATAAATTACCCAGTCTCAGGTATTTCTTTATAGCAGTGTAAGAATGGACCGATACACTTGTTTATATGTCAAACCTTAGCAGCACCCTCTCTCCTGTTGCAGTGGTACAGGTCCTTAGAGTAGTCCTGGTACTCTTTTCATTATGTTACTTCAACACTTGAATTCCTCAGAAGATACTTGTGTGAAAAGAAATTTGTTCATATCTTCTAGATCTTTGTATCACTTGGAATGCTTTTGGTTGTGCTTTGGTTATCTACTGCTGCATAAAAAAAACTGTAAAACTTAGTGTTTTAAAACAATTTGTTATATCACTCATGATTCTATAATTTGATGGGGCTCAGCTGGGTGGTTCTTGCTTGGTATATTTTGTGTGGTTGCAGTGAGATGGCAGCTTGGGCTAGAGTCATCTAAAGACCTGACTGGGCTGGATATCCCAGATGGTCACTCATGTGACTAGCAGTTGATGTGGCTGTTGGTGACAAGGACTCCCTACTTGAACAAACTTCAGTCAGGCTTCTCCAAGCTGTCTTCTTTGCCAGACCTCATCCTCGGCCTCTTGTTCTTGGTCTGTCCAGCCTAGTTTTATCAAGAATCCTGCCAAGTGAATTTAGCAAGAATCTTCTACCTTTACAGTTTGTCAAGTTCACCTTATTAATTTTCCATCCACTGACTTCCTTATCCTGCCCATTAGCTATAAACCCCCAGCTACTACTGTTGTATTCAGAGTTCAGTTCCATCTCTCTTCCCTATTGCAGTAGTTTTGAATAAAGTCTTTCTTGCCTGCTTAACTTATTTGATGCAATTTGTCTTTGAAACTGGCTAGGAAGTCAGCTTGGGCTATCAACTAGAGTACCTATGTGTTTCCTCTCCATGTGGCTTGGGCTTCTCACTGCATCACAGTCTAAGGGTAGTTGAATTTCTTACATTGCCGCTACTGTCTCTCAGAGGGAGCCTTTCAAGAAGACTGTATGGATGCCAGGCATGGTGGCTGACACCTGTCATCTCAACACTTTGGGAGGCTGAGGTAGGAGGATTGCTTGAGCCCAGGAGTTTGAGACCAGCCTGGGCAATATAGTGAGACTGCGTCTCTAAAAAAATAAATAAGTAAATAAAAAGAAGACTATATGGGAACTGCAAAGCTTCATATGACCCGAGCTCATAAGTCTCCCATTGTATTCTATTGATCAAGCAAGCCACTAGGGCCCACCTGGATTCAAGGGGAGAGGAATTGGACAATACTGCTCAATAAGAGAAGTAAATAATTTATAGACATATTTAATCTACCGTAGACTATAAGGAATAAAAGGAAAACACACCAAAAAGTGGCCTAAATAATAAGACTACTTACTATACTGTATACCTAGAAGTTTGAAGGTAGGGCAATTCTAAGTTTGCCTCAAATGTCAACAGAGACACTTTTATTTCTGTTATCCTCTTTTGCTGATTCTGACAGTGGCTGCTTGGTTCCAAGTAATCTTACGAAGACAAGAATATCCAGAGGTAGAAAAGGGGAAATATTCCTGTTTTTGCTTTTTTTGATTTTTAAGAATAATGAAAACCCTTCTAGAATCATCCCAGTTGATTTCCCCTCACTTATAACTGGACAGAATTATATTATACATTCATATTTAAACCAATTACCTGGCAAGAGAATAAAACAACCATGAATGGCTTGAATCAGTCATGATTCAGTCCCTGGGCTGAGGGTAACCTCAATAAGAGAACATAGCTACTCAGAGAAAAATGAACAAAATTAGGGCTTCATCAGGACCAGGTCCCTGAGCAATGTAACAATGCCAAATGTCTCCTGAGGTTAGATACGAAGCCCAGGCTATGAGGTCAAACCTTTGAAAATCCATTAGGAAGGTGTCATGGTAGAGATCAACACACCGTCTCTTACAAGTCTGACAAAGTGTTAGAATGGATTTCTGTTTCTATAATTTAGCACTAGATTAAGTACCTACGTTTAGATGCCTTACTCTACAAAAAATTAAATGTTTGAAGCGATTAGTTCAGCAAGATGTTTATATTGTGAGAGGCATGTGGGTATCAAATGGCTAAGGGAACAATGGATATATATCTCCCATTTGTGCATGGAAAACAATGTAGCAATTTCCCATTTATTCTCTTTCTTTCAAGTCTCCTCTCTTTACTCCTTCTCCCCCACTCCCACCCCCACTCTCTCACTCCCTGTTGTGGAGTAGAAATAGGTGAATGTGTAAAAGCGAAGTGTATATACCATGGAGCTCTACTGTCCACCATGTGGTTGTTAGATCCCTCTAGAGTCTCAGCCATCTTTCCTCTCTGGAAAGCCTGGGCTAACTATGCTCAAGGAAAGCTTTGGAATCCCCTTTATTTCTCTCTCTTGATTCTGGCAAGCAGCCAGCTTTCCTTCTTCTCTGCCCTGCTCCAGTTCCTTTTAACTCTTCAGAATCAAAAATAACCTGCAGACTGAAGGTATCCCCAGCCCCCAAGTGGACCTCCAGCTGACAAAGTGGCCACTAGAGACCCTAAAACAGCTTCCCAGGGCTCTTAAGTCAGCTTTTCCCCTCTACAAGATTTTAGTAAACTTTTTATGGTGCCAGGCTCTCTGCTAGGTGGCAAGGACACTGTGGTAAATAAAACTTAGTCATAAATCACATTCCTTCTAAAAAACAAACGAGAGTTTAACCTAGTGCCACCTGTCTTTGTACCTCATGGAGCACATAGGAAAATTATATTTTGTATTACACACCTGGACTTGTGCCATATCGTAGCCCTTATAGACGGCTCTCTGTAGATTGCTATTCATCCAAGCTTACTAGCAAGATAAGAATTCATGTGTTTAGGAAACATTCAGAGAGACCTTTACGAAAATACTTGTCAAGCATAATTTCAACTGTTGTAAATTTGGAAATGACTCAGTTTTGTCACCACTGAGAAAAAGTACAAACATCAATATCTTGTGGCACACCTGTTATCTATTTGCAGAACCTCTAGTTTAATGAATTCTTTCATTTTTCCCTAAAATCTGACCCATAGCCCTCTAAACATTTTAGGGAAGGAGAAAGAAGGAATTCACCACATCCAGGCTGGGCACTGTCCTGAAGCCCTCGTTGCCCTTCTCTATGGTGGTCTTTGGTGTTTGTCTTCATTATAAGTTGTTGACTTTCATTTCTATTTTTAAATTTTTATTTTTTAGAGACAGGGTCTTGCTTTGTTGTCTAGCCTGGAGTGCAGTGGCGTCATCATGGCTCACTGCAGCCTTGAACCTGTGGACTCAAGTGATCCTCCTGAATAGCTGGGACTACTGGCATATGCCACCATGCCCAGCTAATTTTTTAAATGTTTTGAAGAGATGGGGTTTTGCTATGTTGCCCAGGCTGACCTTGAACTCCTGGCCTGAAGTGATTCTTTCACCTCAGCCTCTGAAAACACTGGGATAACAGACATGAGCCACAGAGCCCAGCCTACTTTCAGTTCTTTTAGTTTTCTAACAGTAGGGACAATAAAGCTAGCTCAGGCACAGCCCAGGCCCTCCTTGTCCCTTACTCTTGTCTGCATAGCACCTTCACCTCTGCTCTCTTCTCCATTGCCAGGCTGCCAGCCCTCACCTGTCTCTGCTGTATGGCAGTACCTACCCCCACTGCATCTGTGTTGAGTGGCAGTGACCTTTGTGGTGGGCACACATGCTGGTGGGGAACTGACCATGGTGTGGTTAATGTCTGTGTGAGTGGGAAGGAGTTAGGAGCCATCAGAATCTTTTATTTCCCATTTTCATCCATGACAATAAAGATATGGATGATATCACTGTTGTAGGCTAAGATAACTTCAAGGTTTTCTTCTTCCTTTCTGGTAGCACTTGCTTTTGGAAGTGAGAAAAAGGTCCAGATACTCCCTTCAGTCACTCATGGATGCTGCAGGCTGAGCAGTAAATAACTCTCAGGTTTTCTCTTTGCCAGCTTCCCCAACATCTTCTGGCTTCCAGCACATTTACAGTTGTCTCTGGTCCAAGTTACTGGAAAGAGACCTCCTCAGCGTTCCAGATTCTACAAGGAAGTTATTCTTATTTAAAAACCACACACATGTTGCTGCTGTGGTTTAGTCTATCATAATTTCTCATTATTCTTATAATATAGTAGTTCACCATAGTTTTCTAAGTGGTCCTCCAGCTCTCCTCAACCTCAACTCCCTGTCACCACCTCAAGCCATTAGCCAAAAGTGGCTTCCAGAAAAGGAAATCTTATCAAATCACATCCCTACTTAAACTCTTTCTTGAACTGTCCCTGCTAATAAAATAAAGGCTTCCTTCATTTGAATTCTCTGTGCAAATGCCTTATCAGACACCACCCTATCTCAAATAGCACCTACCCCTTACTCTGTGTCTCCTTACATTGGTTGATTTTCATCCTGAGCACTTATCACTGATACAGGAGGGGGGCAGGGCAGTGCTGGGTAGAGAAGGGCAGGGTCCCTGATGAGGGCTCCACCCTCAGGTCTGTGCCCACAGACCTAAGTGAGGACAGGCACTCCTGCTTTCACGCCCAAATATTGCATTTTTCCAAGACCACTCTGGCCCACCACGTCCCCCATCCTGTGACTCTCAAACCCCCAAGACCCTAGTGGGCACACACATAAGCAACTGGACATCGAGAGGAACACACAAGCAGAAGAAAACACTGGCAGATGCTGGCAGGCCATCGACGGCAGAAAGAGGCAGACGCTGAGGAGAATTCGGTTGGAGGAGAGTCTAGTCACTGGGCGGTTGGAAGAAAGTCTAGTCCTGGGCGGCCCCACTCCATGGGAAGACCATCTTCCCACTCCACCCCCCTTCTGGCTTCCCCATCTACCTCTCTGAGAGCTGCGTTTACTCAATAAAACCTTGCACCCATCTTCCAAGCCCACATATGATCTGATTTTTCCAGTACGCTAGGGCAAGAACCCCAGGATACAGAAAGCCCTCTGTCCTTGAGATAAGGCAGAGGGTCTAATTGAGCTGATTAGCACAAGCCGCCTGCAGACAGCAAAACTGAAAGAGCACACTGTAACACACGCCTGCTGGGGCTTCCGCAGCTGTAAACACTCAACCCTAGATGCGCTGTGGGGTCGGAGCCCCATGACTTGCCCCTCTGCATGTTCCCCCTAGGGGTTTGAGCAGTGGGACGCAGAAGAAGCGAGCCGCAGCCGCATCGCATGCCCTGTGAGGGGGATAAGGGAAAACTTTTCCTGTTTCATCACCACATGCCGCAATATATACGTTTATTGTCTGTCACCTCCCCCCTAGGATGTAAGCCCCATAAAGGGTTTCTGTCTGCTTTATTCATGGCTGTCTGCTGGCATGTAGTAGGTGTTCAGTAAATAGCTGATTGTGAAATGTTGAATGAAAATATATTTTACAATCAGTTCCCAGCCCACATTCAGAGTCTCCAGCCCTGCTCCCCGACTCCATCCAGTACTACCTTCTTCACACATGGAATTTGCCACATGCTTTCAGATCTCTATAATTTGGGATAATTTTTTCTCTTTGCCTGCTCGTTTTCTTTCCCATCTGCACAGACTACGCCTTCTCTGTTCCTTTGGCACTTGGAACAGAGTTCTCTTTGGGCATGGAACACTGTAATTACCTGTTTATTTGGAAGGTAGTAGAAAGTCCTGGATATGAGTATGGGAGCTAGACTCAGGTTGCTAAGGTTTGAATAATGACTTCATCATTTACTAACTGTGACTTTGGGCTAATTGCATAATCTCAGTTTCTCAGTGTACTCATAGATAATAATGAGAAGGATGATGGCAACTATTTATAGAGTAGGGCCCAACACATAGTAAGTCCTCAGTGAATGCTACCAGGGGTAGCATGCTGTTGCTCTTTTCCATGTGTGTGAGTGGATCATGGGCAAAGATTTTTTTTTTCTTGTGTCTAGCAATGTCTCTGTCCTCAAGGGGACAAATCAGTATTCTTTTTCTCTTTTTCTTTCCCTTCATTTCTCTCTTTCTCCCCCTCTTTCATTCATCCACTATTATCTACACAGGCACCATGTTAGATACCATTCATAGATACATAAAAAGAATTTTAGTACAATGTAAAAGGTATGTTAATAGAGGTAGAAACAGTCTGGTGCCTTGAGAGTTGTCTTTGTGGATGAAAATACTATGTGAGCTAAGGACTTGGTGTCTTGAAGGGCCAGTAGAATATAGATTGAGGTCATTTCATTTAGAAAGTGATCATTATGTTATTTTCTAATGATAGTTTAAAAGGCATATTTAATGAGGGAATAAAAATATATATAAATACAATTTCATTTTTAATATCTTTAGTTTGTAAATAAACCTAATACCATTATAACTTAAGACCCACTAACTTTGAGTACGTGTTGGAATTTATTTCTGAATCTAGTTAAGGCTAACTTCAGGCAAGCTTTTCAGCAGCCGAAGGATAAAAAGAGGTTCTCTTTCTTCCTCCCCTCTTCTTTGTCCCTGTGCCATTTTTACTGTCTAAACTTGCACTCAATTTATCCAAGTAGTTCTGTGATCTTTAGAAAATAGATTCTGAAGTCCGTCTCATAAATATTAAAATCTTTAATAGTTCACATCTTTATTTTTTGTATTTTTAATGAGTGGAAATAATTCTTTTTAAAGGTATCTGCTATAGGTTGAATGTTTGTATTATCCGTAAAATTCATATGTTGAAATTCAAATCCCCAGTATGATGGTATTAGGCAGTAGGGCCTTTAGGAAGTGATTAGATCATGAGGGTGGAGTCCTCATAAGTGATTAGTGCTCTTATGAAAATACAGGAGAAAGCATCTCTCTCTGCTTTCTGCCTTCTGTTCTCTGCCATGTGAGGATACAATGAAAAGGTGGACATCTACAAACCAAGAAGCCGGTCCTCACCAAACACTGGATCTGCTGGCATCTTTATCTTGGACTTCCCAACCTCCAGAACTGAGAAATACATTTCTGTTATTTAAGTCTCCCAGGCTTAAACAACATTTTAAAACTGGCAGCTTGCACTAAGACACTACCGGAAACAATTTCTCTTAACTCAGGTCCTTGTGCATTTATATGTAGTAGAAAAAACACGGGTAAGTTAACATCTTTACTACATGTTAGCAATTTGATTTTGGGCAAATTAATAAATCTCTGAACATTGATGTCCTTATTTGAAAATTGGGGCTAATCATACTTACCTCATGGAATTAGCTTTTTGGAGAAGTAAATCTAGTCCTAAACATAATGTCCTTAACACAGTACCTGACTCAAAGGCAAGCAATTCATGAAAGCTTGCACCTTCAGTGCCTATGTGGAATTCACTGTAATAGTTCAGAATGGTGGTATCAGCTGTTTATTTTTTCCAGAATAGATAACCAGATTTTATTAACCACTTCTTATCCCAGTCTCATCCAAACTGCTCCTCTTCCCAGCTGGCTTCATTAATATTTTCAGAAAAATCTGGAGACAAAACCTGGAGGGAAAGAGGGGGAACAAGTTCATAAAAGAACAAAGATTCTTCTAGTAAGAGATAAGCCCTAATTTTGTTCTGTGCACATCTATCATGTCCCTTGCTGGTAAATTTCTGGAGAATAGGCACCATATCTTAACTGGATTCCTCACTACCTTTCACCTCATTTGAAAGTGAGACATACTAAAATAGTAACTACAATACATGGCCACACATAATGTTTTAGGGACCCTGGAGTGATAGGAGTATAGTGATAATGATATCTCACCAACGTGGAAGTCACTTAAGCCTCTTAACTTTAGCAGTATTGGGAATACATGTGGAAAAATCAGAGCTGGAAGGAAGCCAAACTCAATGAAGTTCCAGGCTGTCTCCTTCTATTTCTTCCTTCCTTGCTTAGTAATTAGATTTTAGGAAGAGTGACAATGAGGAGAAAATGAATGGAAGGGTGCCAGCAGAAAGGTTATTTTAGGGTCATGTCTATAGATTCAAATAAAGGTGAATGAGTGAAAATGAAATAAAGCTGCTAAGAGAAATGAAACATGTTTCCAGTCCCAGAGTTATCTCACACTTTTTCACAAGTTTTGAAGTCAGGAAGCTTGCTCTTATATGATCAAATCTCTCTGGTTTAATCAGCCAAAATATTTCAGTGTTTATCATTCTCTCTTGGTGAATTGCTAGAACTAGAAGTTCTCAATTGTTCATTACAAAATAGGTAGTAGAATGTCAATTATATAATATGGACTCAGTACATTTAGCAGGGTTATACGATGGAAATTTGCACAAATAATTACTGAAGTTTGATCAAAGCTCATACCTCTGCTGGAAAAAATAGCAGCTGGACAAGCAATGCCGAGGAGATAGTTTGTATGGCCTATTGCATATGTAAGCCGATATGTATTAGCAATGATTTCAGGTTTTTAGGTATTAGTAAGACTTTATTTGGAAAGGGAAAAGTCCATTCTCAGTTCTGTAGCGTGAGGACCAAACATGCGCAACTAAAGAACTGAGACCCACTTTCTGAAAATTGACCATTGCCATGGTGACCACTTAGTTGTCCACTAAAACTATTTTTGCTTTTATACCGAGCCCATGGCTGGACTACATTTCCTAGTCCTCCTTGCAATTAGGTGCATCCACATGACTAAGATCTCGCAGTGGAATGTGAGTGCAAGTGAAGGTGCCTCCTTCACCTGGGCCCAAACACAGTGGGTGATTCTTCTCTAGTGTTCTCCTCTATGCATTCCTCCATGTTCCTTTCTCCTCTGTGATGGTCGGTTCTATGTGCCAACTTGGCTAGGCTATAGTCCCTAGTTAATTCAATAAAATGAGCATTGAGGTATTGATGTGAAGGTATTTTACTTATTTATTTGTTATTTATTCATTTATTTTAAATAGAGACAGAGTCTCACTATGTTGCCCAGGCTGGTCTGGAATTCTTGGGCCAAGCAGTCCTGCCTTGGCCTCAAAATATGTTGGGGTTACAAGTAAGAGCCACCACATCCAGCCTGTGAAGATATTTTACAGATACCTTCTGTAACTGTGATTGATATCTGAGTTGCATTTACATAAAAGATGTTATCCTTGGACTGGGACCAATCCAGTCAGTTGAAAGTGCTTAAGAGCAGGAGTGAGATTTCCTTGAGGAGGAAGAAATTCTATCTGTGGACTTTAATTTCTGTTGTAGAGTTTTCTACAGCCTGCCTTCCTAAGGCGCCTGCTCTATAGATTTGAGATTTTCCTAGCCAATATTCCTTGGATTCCTACCCAAAATCTCACAAGCCAATTCCCTGCAATAAATCTCTTGATATATATATATTAGTCTGTTCTCACACTGCTATAAAGAACTACCTGAGATTGAGTAATTTATAAGAAAAGAGATTTAATTGACTCAGTTCTACAGGCTGTACAGGAAGCATGGCTGGGGGAGGCCTCAGAAAACTTACAACCATGGTGGAAGGGTGAAGGGGAAGCCAGAACATCTTCACCTGCTGGCAGGAGAGAGAGAGTGAAGGGGGAAGTGGTACACACTTTTAAACAACCATATCTCCTGAGAACTCACTCCATATCACAAGAATAGCAAAGGAGAAATTCGCCCCCATGATCCAATCACCTCCCACCAGGTCCTTCCCGCAACACTAGGGATTACAATTCAACATCAGATTTGGGTGAGAACACAGAGCCAAAACATACTATTTCACCCCTGGCCCCTCTCAAATCTCATGTCCTTCTCACATTTCAAAACCAATCCAGCCTTCCTGACAAGTCCCCAAAGTCTTAATTCATTCCAGTCTTTACTCAAAAGTCCAAGTCCAAAATCTCATCTGAGGCAAGGCAAGTCCCTTCCACATATGAGCCTGTAAAATCAAAAACAAGTTAGTTACTTCCAAGACAAAATGGTGACACAGGCATTGGGTAAATTCTCCCATTCTAAAAGGGAGACATTGGCCAAAATAAAGTGGCTACAGGTCCCATGCAAGTCAAAAACCCAGCAGAATGGTCATTAAATCTTAAAGCTCCAAAATAATCTCCTTTGACTCCATGTCTCACATCCAGGGCATACTGATGGAAGGAGTGGGTTCCTATAGCCTTGAGTAGCTCTTCCCCTGTGGCTCTGTGGGATACAGCCCCCACAGCTTCTTTCATGGACTGGCATTGAGTGCATGAAGCTTTTTCAGATGCATGGTGCAACCTGTTGGTGGATCTATGATTCTGGGGTCTGGAGGACAGTGGCCCTCTACTTATAGCTCCACTAGGCAGTGCTCCAGGGGGGACTCTGTGTGGGGACTCCAACCTCACATTCCCATCCACACTGTCCTAGTAGAGGTTCTGTATCTGAGCTGTGCAGCAGACTTCTACATGGACATCCATTTGTTTCCATACATCTTCTGAAATCTAGGCAGAGGGTCCCAAAGCTCAACTCTTGTCTTCTGTGCACCTGCAGGCCCAACACCACATGGAATCTACCAAGGCTTGGGGCTTGCACCTTCTGAAGCAACAGCCTAAGCTGTAACTTGGCCCCTTTTAGCCACTGCTATAGCTGGAGCAGTTAAGACACAGGGAGCCATGTCCTGAGGCTGCAAAGAGCATCAGGGCCCTGGGCCCAGCCCACAAACCATTTTTCCCTCCTAGGTTTCCAGGCTTGTTATGGGAGGGGCTGCTGTGAAGATATCTGAAATGCCCTGGAAACATTTTCCCCATTATCCTGGCTATTAACATTTGGCTCCTCTTCACTTATGCAAGTTTCTACAGCTAGCTAGAATTTCTTCCCAGAAAATGAGTTTTTCTTTTCTACCACATGGTCAGGATGCAAATTTTCCAAACTTTTATGCTCTGCTTCTTTTCAATGTAAGTTCCAATTTCAGACCATCTCTTCTTGAACGCATATGAGCATACGCTGTTAGAAGCAGCCAGGCTACATGTTGATCACTTTGCTGTTTAAAAATTTCTTCCACGAGACACTCCCCAAATCCTTTCTCTCAAGTTCAAAGTTCCACAGATCTCTAGGGCAGGGGCATAATGCTGCCAGTCTCTTTGTTATAGCATAGTAAGAGTGACCTTTGCTCCAATTCCCAATAAGTTCCTCATCTCCATCTGAGACCTCATCAGCCTGGACTTCACTGTCAATATCACTATCAGCATTTTGGTTAAAACCATTCAAAAAGTCTCTAGGAGTTTCCAAACTTTCCCACATCTTCCTGTCTTCTTTTGAGCCCTCCAAACTCTTCCAAACTCTGCCCATTACCCAGTTCCAAAGTTGCTTTTACATTTTCAGATATCTTTATAGTAATGTCCCACTTCTCTGGTACCAATTTTTTGTATTCGTCTGTTCTCACACTGCTATAAAGAACTACCCGAGACTGGGTAATTTATAAAGAAAAGAGGTTTAATTGACTCACAGTTCCACAGGCTGTACAGGAGGCCTCAGGAAAGTTACAATCATGACAGAAGGGTGAAGGGGAAGCAAGCATGTCTCCACATGGTGGCAGGGGAGAGAGAGTGAAGGGGGAAGTGTAACACACTTTTAAACAACCAGATCTCTTGAGAACTCACTATCATGAGAACAGCAAGGGAAAAATACACCCCAATGTATCCAATCACCTCCCACCAGGTCCCTTCTTCAACACTGGGGATTAAAATACAACATGAGATTTGGGTGGGGACACAGAGCCAAACCATGTCAATATATGTCTAACCTACTGCTTCTGCTTTTCTGTTAGAAGCCAGGCTGATACATGCTCTATTCTCTTGTCTCTTCCATGTTCTCTTCTCCTTTTTCATGGGCTAGAACTCATGTTGACCTAGTTTTGACCATGTAGATGGTGGCGCAATCCCCAAGAGAGAGTGAAGGAGCTGTATGAGAAAGTACTCAGGTCCTTGAATGTCCATATAGGCAATAGTTGCTCTGCCAACCTGGACAACCCACGTTAGAACTGTAATGTGAGTGGGAAATACATTTTTTGTTTTAAGCCACTTTCCTTATGAGTCTCTTTGCTACAGCTATGTATATCCTTTTCCTCTAATATAATTACTATTTTGAAAGTACAGTTGATTTTGGTGTTTCTATTTATAGATATTAATGTGACTGAGAACTCTGACATGTCTTTATATGGAATATACATGTGGGTTTTGTCTGTGGTCCAATCAAACTTAGTCTATCAATCACTTTAAAAGTATTGAGTCCTCACTCATACCAAACACTCTGAAAATACAATAGCATAAAAATTAAGTGTTGTTGGCAGTTCCAAGATGGCTGAATAGGAACAGCTCCAGTCTACAGCTCCCAGCATGAGCGACACAGAAGACGGGTGATTTCTGCATTTCCAACTGAGGTACAGGGTTCATCTCAGGCTTGTCGGACAGTGGGGGCAGGACAGTGGGTGCAGTCCACTGAGCATGAGCTGAAGCAAGGTGAGGCATCACCTCACCCGGAAAGTGCAAGGGGTCAGGGAATTCCCTTTCCTAGCCAAGGGAAGGGGTGACATACGGCACCTGGAAAATCAGGTCACTCCTACCCTAATACTGCGCTTTTCCAATGGTCTTAGCAAATGGCACACCAGAGGATTATATCCTGTGCCTGGCTCGGAGGGTCCCATGCCCACGGAGCCTCGCTCATTGCTAGCATAGCAGTCTGAGATCAAACTGCAAGGTGGCAGCGAGGCTGGGGGAGGGGCGCCTGCCATTGCTGAGGCTTGAGTAGGTAAACAAAGCGGCCAGAAAGCTGGAACTGGGTGGAGCCCACAGCAGCTCAAGGAGACCTGCCTGCCTCTATAGACTCCACCTCTGGGGGCAGGGCATAGCTGAACAAAAGGAAGCAGAAACCTCTGCAGACTTAAATGTCCCTGTCTGACAGCTTTGAAGAGAGTGGTGGTTCTCCCAGCATGGAGTTTGAGATCTGAGAACGGACAGACTGCCTCCTCAAGTGGGTCCCTGACCTCTGAGTAGCCTAACTGGGAGGCACCCCCAGTAGGGGAAGACTGGCACCTCACATGGCCGGGTACCCCTCTGAGATGAAGCTTCCAGAGGAATGATCAGGCAGCAACATTTGCTCTTCAGCAGTATTTGCTCTTCTGCAGCCTCCGCTGCTGATACCCAGGCAAACAGGGTCTGGAGTGGACATCCAGCAAACTCCAACAGACATGCATCTGAAGGTCCTGACTGTTAGAAGGAAAACTAACAAACAGAAAGGACATCCACACCAAAACCCCATCTGTACATCACCATCATCAAAGACCAAAGGTAGATAAAACCACAAAGATGGGGAAAAAACAGAGCAGAAAAGCTGAAAATTCTAAAAATCAGAGCTCCTCTCCCCCTCCAAAGGAACACAGCTCCTCTCCAGCAACGGAACAATGCTGGATGGAGAATGACTTTGATGAGTTGAGAGTAGAAGGCTTCAGATGATCAAACTTCTCCGAGCTAAAGGAGGAAGTGCGAACCCAGCGCAAAGAAGCTAAAAACCTTGAAAAAAGATTGGACGAATGGCTAACTAGAATAACCAGTGTAGAGAAGTCCTCAAATGACCTGATGGAGCTGAAAACCATGGCACGAGAACTACGTGCTGAATGCACAAGCTTCAGTAGCCGATTTGATCAACTGGAAGAAAGAGTATCAGTGATTGAAGATCAAATGAATGAAATGAAGTGAAAGAGAAGTTTAGAGAAAACAGAGTAAAAAGAAACAAACAAAGCCTCTAAGAAATATGGGACTATTTGAAAAGACCAAATCTAAGTCTGATTGGTGTACCTGAAAATGATGAGGAGAATGGAACCAAGCTGGAAAACACTCTGCAGGTTATTATCTAGGAGAACTTCCCCAACCTAGCAAGGCAGGCCAACATTCAAATTCAGGAAATACAGAGAATGCCACAAAGATACTCCTCGAGAAGAGCAACTCCAAGACACGTAATTGTCAGAGTCACCAAAGTTGAAATGAAGGAAAAAATGTTAAGGGCAGCCAGAGAGAAATGTTGGGTTACCCTGAAAGGGAAGCCCATCAGACTAACAGCGGATCTCTTGGCAGAAACTCTACAAGCCAGAAGAGAGTGGGGACCAATATTCAACATACTTAAAGAAAAGAATTTTCAACCCAGAATTTCATATCCAGCCAAACTAAGCTTCATAAGTGAAGGAGAAATAAAATACTTTACAGACAAGCAAATGCTGAGAGATTTTGTCACCACCAGGCCTGCCCTACAAGAGCTCCTGAAGGAAGCACTAAACATGGAAAGGAACAACCGGTACCAGCCACTGCAAAAACATGCCAAATTGTAAAGACCATCAATGCTAGGAAGAAACTGCATCAACTAACGAGCAAAATAACCAGCTAACATCATAGTGACAAGATCAAATTCACACAACAATATTAACTTTGAATGTAAATGGGCTAAATGCTCCAATTAAAAGACACAGACTAGCAAATTGGATAAAGAGTCAAGACCCATTAGTGTGCTGTATTCAGGAGACCCGTCTCACGTGCAGAGACAAACATAGGCTCAAAATAAAGGGATGGAGGAAGATCTACCAAGCAAATGGAAAACAAAAAAAGGCAGGGGTTGCAGTCCTAGTCTCTGATAAGACAGACTTTAAACCAACAAAAATCAAAAGAGACAAAGAAGGCGATTACATAATGGTGAAGGGATCAATTCAACAAGAAGAGCTAACTATCCTAAATATATATGCACCCAATACAGGAGCACCCAGATTCATAAAGCAAGTCCTTAGAGACTTACAAAGAGACTTAGACTCCCACACAATAATACTGGGAGATTTTAACACCCCACTGTCAACATTAGACAGATCAATGAGACAGAAAATTAACAAGGATATCCAGGAATTGAACTCAGCTCTGCACCAAGCAGACCTAATAGACATCTACAGAACTCTCCACCCCAAATCAACAGAATATACATTCTTCTCAGCACCACATCACACTTATTCAAAAATTGACCACATAGTTAGAAGTAAAGCACTCCTCAGCAAATGTAAAAGAACAGAAATTATAACAAACTGTCTCTCAGACCACAGTGCAATCAAACTAGAACTCAGGATTAAGAAACTCACTCAAAACCACTCAACTACATGGAAACTGAACAAGCTATTCCTGAATGACTACTGGGTACATAACAAAATGAAGGCAGAAATAAAGATGTTCTTTGAAACCAATGAGAACAAAGACACAATATACCAGGATCTCTGGGACACATTCAAAGCAGTGTGTAGAGGGAAATTTATAGCACTAAATGCCCACAAGGGAAAGCAGGAAAGATCTAAAATTGACACTCTAACATTGCAACTAAAAGAACTAGAGAAGCAAGAACAAACACATTCAAAAGCTAGCAGAAGGCAAGAAATAACTAAGATCAGAGCAGAAATGAAGGAGATAGAGAGACACAAAAAACCCTTCAAAAAATCAATGAATCCAGGAGCTGGGTTTTGAAAAGATCAACAAAATTGATAGACTGCTAGCAAGACTAATAAAGAAGAAAAGAGAGAAGAATCAAATAGACACAATAAAAAATGACAAAGGGGATATCACCACCAATCCCATAGAAATACAAACTACCATCAGAGAATACTATAAACTCCTCTACACAAATAAACTAGAAAATCTAGAAGAAATGGATAAATTCCTGGACACTTACACCCTCCCAAGACTAAACCAGGAAGAAGTTGAATCCCTGAATAGACCAATAACAGGCTCTGAAATTGAGGCAATAATTAATAGCCTATCAACCCAAAAAAGTCTAGCACCAGATGGATTCACAGCTGAATTCTACCAGAGGTACAAGGAGGAGCTGGTACCATTCCTCCTGAAACTATTCCAATCAATATAAGATGAGGGAATCCTCCCTAACTCATTTTATGAGGCCAGCACCATCCTGATACCAAAGCCTGACAGAGACACAACAAAAAAAGAGAATTTTAGACGAATATCCCTGATGAACATCGATGCAAAAATCCTCAATAAAATACTGGCAAACCGAATCCAGCAGCACATCGAAAAGCTTATCTACCATGATCAAGTGGGCTTCATTCCCTAGGATGCAAGGCTGGTTCAACATAGGCAAATCAATAAATGTAATCCATCACGTAAACAGAACCAAAGACAAAAACCACATGGTTATCTCAGTAGATGGAGAAAAGGCCTTTGACAAAATTCAGCAGCGCTTCATGCTAAAAACTCTCAATAAATTAGGTATTGATAGGACATATCTCAAAATAATAAGAGGTATTTATGACAAACCCACAGCCAATATCATACTGAATGGGCAAAAACTGGAAGCATTCCCTTTGAAACCTGGCACAAGACAGGGATGCCCTCTCTCACCACTGCTATTCAACATAGTGTTGGAAGTTCTGGCTAGGGCAATCAGGCAGGAGCAAGAAATAAAGTGTATTCAATTAGGAAAAGAGGAAGTCAAATTGTCCCTGTTTGCAGATAACATGATTGTATATTTAGAAAACCCCATTGTCTCAGCCCAAAATCTCCTTAAGCTGATAAGCAACTTCAGCAAAGTCTCAGGATACAAAATCAATGTGCAAAAACCACAAGCATTCTTATATACCAATAACAGACAAACAGAGAGCCAAATCATGAGTGAACTCCCATTCACAATTGCTTCAAAGAGAATAAAATACTTAGGAATCCAACTTACAAGGGATGTGAAGGACCTCTTCAAGGAGAACTACAAACCACTGCTCAACAAAATAAAAGAGGACACAAACAAATGGAAGAACATTCCATGCTCATGGATAGGAAGAATCAATATCGTGAAAATGGCCATACTGCCCAAGGTAATTTACAGATTCAATGCCATCTCCATCAAGCTACCAATAACTTTCTTCACAGAATTGGAAAAAACTACTTTAAAGTTCATATGGAACCAAAAAAGAGCCCTCATTGCCAAGACAATCCTAAGCCAAAAGAACAAAGCTGGAAGCATCACATTACCTGACTTCAAACTATACTACAAGGCTACAGTAACCAAAACAGCATAGTTCTGGTACCAAAACAGAGATATAGACCAATGGAATAGAACAGAGCCCTCAGAAATAATACCACACATCTACAACCATCTGATATTTGACAAACCTGAGAAAAACAAGCAATGGGGAAAGGATTCCCTATTTAATAAATGGTGCTAGGAAAACTGACTAGCCATATGTAGAAAGCTGAAACTGGATCCCTTCCTTACACCTTATACAAAAATTAATTCAAGATGTATTAAAGACTTAAATGTTAGACCTAAAACCATAAAACTCTAGAAGAAAACCTAGGCAATACCATTCAGGACATAGCATAGGCAAGGACTTCATGTCTCAAACACCAAAAGCAACAGCAACAAAAGCCAAAATAGACAAATGGGATCTAATTAAACTAAAGAGCTTCTGCACAGCAAAAGAAACAAAGAGCTTCTGCACAGCAAAAGAAACTGCCATCAGAGTGAACAGGTAACCTACAGAATGGGAGAAAATTTTTGCAATCTATTCATCTGACAAAGGGCTAATATCCAGAATCTACAAAGAACTCAAACAAATTTACAAGAAAAAAACAAACAACCCCATCAAAAGGCGGGTGAAGGGTATGAACAGACACTTCTCAAAAGAAGACATTTATGCAGCCAACAGACACATGAAAAAATGTTCATCACCACTGGCCATCAGAGAAATGCAAATCAAAACCACAATGAGATACCATCTTACACCAGTTAGAATGGCAATCACTAAAAAGTCAGGAAACAACAGATGCTGGAGAGGATGTGGAGAAATAGGAACACTTTTACACTGTTGATGGGACTGTGAACTAGTTCAACCATTGTGGAAGATAGTGTGGTGATTCCTCAATGATCTAGGACTAGAAATACCATTTGACTCAGCCATCCCATTACTGGGTATATACCCAAAGGGTTATAAACCATGCTGCTATAAAGACACATGCACACGTATGTTTCTTGTGGCACTATTCACAACAGCAAAGACTTGGAACCAACCTAAATGTCCATCAGTGATAGGCTGGATTAAGAAAATGTGGCACATATACACCATGGAATACTATGAAGCCATAAAAAAGGATGAGTTCATGTCCTTTGTAGGGACATGGATGAAGCTGGAAACCATCATTCTCAGCAAACTATCACAAGGACAAAAAACCAAACACCTCATGTTCTCACTCATAGGTGGGAATTGAACAATGAAAACACTTGGACGCAGGAAGGGGAACATCACACACTGGGGCCTGTCATGGGGTGTGGGGAGCGGGGAGGGATAGCATTAGGAGATATACCTAATGTAAATGACGAATTAATCGGTGCAGCACACCAACATGGCACATGTATACATATGTAACAAACCTGCACTTTGTGCACATGTACCCTAGAACTTAAAGTATAAAAAAAAATTAAATGTTGTCACCACTATTACACACATTATTACATACTGTGTAATAATGTAATAATAACATTATACATACATTACTCACATAATTACTCACATTAATAGGCAGTAGCAGAGAGAAGAACAAAGTTTATAATATGTTCCAGGAACAGAAAAATATTCAGCATGGTAGAGGATTGAGTATAAGAAAAAGTGGCAGAGGTGATGGGGCTAGAGATACATAAGGAATGGTTAATATAGGACTTTTTAAGCCTGGCTAAGGTGGATGAGCTTTATTCTCAGAATATCGAGGAGAATAGTAACATGATTACACTTATACTTTTCCAAGACAAATCTGATTGTAGTATGGAGGACAAATTGGAGAAAGGCAAGAATATAAGCAGGAAAATCAGGAGTCTATTGCAGTAATCGAGCCAGGTGATGATGCCTGGAATGAAAGTGTCAAAAGTGGGCATAGAGAAAAGTAGTTAGATTCCAGAGAGCTCTTGATAATTAGCCTTGTGTAACACAGAAGAGGAAGGATTCGATATTGACAGATGTCCCTTTTTAAAAATTAGGTGGATGAGGTAATAACTAAGAGAGATCAGAGCTATAGGAGAAGGTTAGGTGGGAGGTTTGTAGGGAAGAGGAAGATGATGAGCTTGTTTTGTGTCTGGTTGTATTTAACAAAGCTGTGGAAGCAATTAAATATGTGGGTCTCTATTAGTTAAGGTAAATAATGTTAGTTATTAAAACAGACAACCCTTTAGTACAGTAGTCCCCATCTTATCCATGACAGATACGTTCCAATACCCCCAGTATCCACTGAAACTACAGTTAGTATGGAATTCTATATATACTATGTTTTTCCTATGCATATATACTTATGATAAAGTTTAATTTATAAATGAGGCATGGTGAGAGATTAGCAACAAAAGTAATAGAACAATTAATATACTGTTATAAAAGTTATATAAATGTGGTCTCTCTCTCTCTTTTTCCCTCTCTCTCTCTCTCTCTCTCTCTCTCCAAATAGCAAATTGTATTGTATTGTTGTATTGTGGGTAACTGAAGCCACAGAAAGCGAAACCGTGACTAAGGGGAGAATGCTGTGTTAAACTAAACACAATAAAAGCTTATTTCACAGTCAGTTAAAAGTCCAGTGTGGGTGGGAGTGGTAGAATAGGAATCTGTTCCATATGATAATTAAGGCTCCTTTCATCTAGGACTTTTGTCCAGGTCTCTGAAATTCTTTTATTCACCCGGCAGAATGAGTATTGCCCATGGGAGGGTTTTATGGGCCAGCCCTAGAAGTAGCAATTTTACTTCCAGAGTAACATCACATAATCACTCTGAACAGCACAATGTTCAGAATGTATTTTTCACAATGGCTGAAAAATACATTCTAGCTTGTGTCTGAGAACTAAGATGAGAATATGGATATTGGTGAACATCAACAGTCTCTGGCATAGTTCCTGGAATAACAGAGCAGAAGATGCACAGTTAGTAGTCACTTGGTTATAAATAATATGTAAAGTCATGAATGAAGAAGAGATTGCCAACATAAAATATGCAGAATGAGAAGGGGGTTTAGGGCAACAATGCTGAGAATTACTAACCTAAGGAATGAACAAAGGAAGAGAACTCACAAAGGAAACTGAAAAGAAAGGCCAGAGATGTAGGAGAGTAGTCACAGAATTGAAAGGAAGAGAGTATTTCCAGAAAGTGGAAATGATCCTCAAGGTGAAAGGATTCTATGAAGTGTAAGGTGTGGGTTAAGGAGGATATTCCTGCTTTGAGGAAGAACTATCAGGGTTGAAAACTATATTTCAGTAGGTAGAGGAATGTTTGGGAGATTATAGGATACGAGTAGTAAGACTATTAAACTCTTTCTAAAAGATACAAGCAGCAAACACAGGATATAATTTTTTTAAAATAATATACCACTCACAGAATTAAATACTTAGTAATAAATCTAACAAAGGACAAAGGATTTTAGATTTTGTAACAGAATATTTTTGTTTACCATATAGGGAATATATATATATTCACTGTACCAAAACCCAAAACCCAAAGTATTAAAAGAAATATAAAAACAGAATGTGTCTTTCTATATATTTATAAATTATATATATTTATAAATATCTATATTTACAATATTTATAATATATTTATAAATATCTATATTTACAATATTTATAATATTGTAAATTTATGCATTAAATTATACATATTTATACAGTACACATTTATAAATATCTATATATCTACTTTTAACACCATGGGAATGACATTATACATTTTTTTTACAAGCCATTTCTTCTACTCATAGCATTGCAGACATCTATGGCAGGAACTGCTTGTGGCATAGCCAAAGGCCGTTTCTCCCTTTCACCCTTGATAGGGAATTCTGATTTGGTTCAGATACTCATCTCTCTACCACAGGAACATGTGTTTCACCAAGCTATTTGTGACAATTTTATTGTTTTTTCCAGGGACTGATTTAGGAATGAGTGTTTGCAATGTCAATGAGAGATGAAGGGAAGTCAATTAGAAAGTGTAGAAAAGGTTTTCTTTCTCCTAAAATGTGACGCAAGTCTAGGCATAGTGGTGTGTGCTTGTAGTCCCTGCTACTTGGAAGCGAGGGAGAATTCTTTAACTCAGGAATTTGAGACCAGCCTGGGCAACATAGCAAGACCCCCATCTCTAAAATAAAAATAAAAAATTAAAAGTGACAACCCCTTTTCTTCTGGACACAGCTATACTGGCATGTGACAACTGGAACTCTAGCAGCTACCTTGTAACATGAGGAGAGCCAGCCTCAGGACAGATTGTTGTGCTGCTGTTGACTCCTTGGAAACATGAATAGAAGCTGGATTTCTTTTTTTTTTTTTTTTTTTTGAGAGGGTCTCATTCTGTTGCCTAAGCTGGAGTGCAGTGGCATGATTACAGCTTACAGCAGTCTTGACTGCCTGGGCTAAAGTGATCTTCCCAGCTCAGTCTCCCGAGGTGCTGGAACTATCAGCATGCACCACCATGCCTGGCTAATTTTTTTCTATTTCTTTTGTAGAGACGGGGTCTCACTTTGTTGCCCAGGCTGGTCCTAGATGATCTTCCTGCCTCGACCTCCCAAAGTGCTGGGGTTACAGGCATGAACCACCATGCCTGGCCTGGAATTTTTTTTTTTTTTTTTTTTTAACTATAGCTCCTCTCCTTAGGAACTCCTTATATGAGAATTTTTTATTTTACATGTCTTATTGATTTGGGAATTTTTCTGTTATTTGCATCCAAAACACTAACAATATAACATATTTTCATATCAATTCAGAGATTTAACTATTTGCTTTAATTGCTGTGTGGTGTTTCACTGTGTGAATGGCTCATTACCTATTCATCCACCCAATCTTTCACCCATTCAGCATATGCTGTGGGCCAATCACTGGGGATAAAGCAGTGAACAAAACTGACTTTGTATCAACCCTCTTGGAGCTTTTTATTATTTATGTACTATATGCTAACCATGGGGAAAATGACATGTAGGACATAAAATGAACTAAAATATTTGTAATCCTTCTGTATTCCAATTTAACCCGCCCTCTCTGTTTTTAGGTCTTCTAGTAGTTATCATAATTTTCACATGTTTATACCTCTATGTCTTGAGCAAACGGTTGTTTGAGGTCTGAATAATCAAGGCAGGTTTTCTTGGACAGTACATACACAAGTGAGAAGCAGGTGGGCAGGCTGGGACCACCACAAGCATCAAGGTACAGAGGACATTGGCAGTGTTTCATTACTGGGTAGAGCTACGTTTGCCTCTTTCTGCACCCCCTACCCCATGTCTACTAGAGTGGTCCTAGTAGACATGAGGGAGAATGAGAAGGACAGCACAGTTACCTCCAGCTCTGCATTTTTTCTCTTTCTCTTTTAAGCACTCATAACTGTCAATAGAATGACCATAAGCAGGCAAGTGAATATGAAAAGAATATATAATTTTATTGTTCAATAAACAGATAGTGGTGAAATAAAGTTTTGCAATAAAGAAGCCCAGAATTCTACCCAAATGGAACAGCAAACACTGGTAAAGGTAAAACTTGACAGATACCTTGCATATTGACTTGGTTGGCAAAATACATTTTAACTAAAAGGTGTGGACTTAGGTTTGCTCATTGACATCACAGATTGTGAATAACTATGAGAAAAGGGCTCATAGTATTCACCTGTGGCTTAAGTAGACTCATCCTGTAATTTACCTCAGATCCCATGTCCTGGCCTAGAACTTTTGACAGATAAGGCACCTATCACCATCCCAGGCCTTCCACCCAACCACCTCAGTTTTGTTGAGACGGTAAATCCTCTCCATTTTTAACAACAAAAATATTTAAGCACTAGTGGAGATGAGTCTTTTCTCCATTGCTTGTTTTTTTCAGCTTTGTTGAACATCAGGTATTTGTAGGTGTGTGGCCTTATTTCTGGGCTCTCTATTCTGTCCCATTGGTCTATGAGCCTGTTTTTTTGTACCAGCACCATGTTGTTTTGGTTACTATAGCCCTGTAGTATAGTCTGAAGTCAGGTAATGTGATGCCTTCAACTTTTTTCTTTTTGCTTAGGATTGCCTTGGCTATTTGGGCTCTTTTTTGTTTCCATATGAATTTTAAAATAGTTTTTTCTACTTCTGTGAAGAATATCATTGGTAATTTGATAAGAATAACATTGAGTCTGTAAATTGCTTTGGGCAGTATGGTCATTTTAATGATACTGATCTTTCCTATCCATGAGCATGGAATGATTTTCTATTTGTTTGTGTCTTCTCTGATTTCTTTGAACAGTGTTTTGTAATTCTCATTGTAGAGATCTTTCAGTTCCCTGATTAGCTGTATTCCTATGTATTTTATTCTTTATGTCGTAATTGCGAACGGGATTGCCTTTCTGATTTGGCTCTCAGCTTGGCTGTTGTTGGTGTATAGGAATGGTAGTAATTTTTGTTGTTGATTTTGTCCTGAAACTTTCATAAAGTTCTTTATCAGCTGAAGGAGATTTAGGGCCGAGAATATGGGGTTTTGTAGATATAGAATCATGTCGTCTGCAAACAGAGATAGTTTGACTTCCTCTCTTCCCATTTGAATGTACTTTCTTTCTTTCTCTTGCCTGATTGCTCTGGCTAGGATTTCCAATACTATGTTGAATAAAACTGGTAAGACAGGGCATCCTTGTCTTGTGCTGGTTTTCAAGGGGAATGCGTCCAGCTTTTTCCCATTCAGTGTAATGTTGGCTGTGGGTTTGTCATAGATGGCTCTTGTTATTTTGAGGTATATTCCATTAATACAAATTTATTGAGAGCTTTTAATATGAAGCATGTTGAATTTTATCGAAAGCATCTTCTGCATCTATTGAGATAATCATGTGATTTTTGTCTTTAGTTGTGTTTATGCAATGAATCACATTTATTAATTTGTGTATGTTGAACCAAACTTGCTTGCATCCTGGGGATGAAGCCTACTTGATCGTGGTGGATAAACTTTTTGATGCGTTGCTGGATTTGGTTTGCAAGTATTTTGTTGAGGATTTTTGCATCAGTGTTCATCAAGGATATTGGCCTGAAGTTTTCTTTTTTTGTTGTGTTTCTGCCAGGTTTTGGTATCAGGAGGATGCTGACCTCACGGAATGAACTGGGTTGGGGGAAGTCCCTCCTCCTCAATTTTTCGGAGTAGCTTCTGTAGGAATGGTACCAGTTCTTCTTTGTACATCTGGTAGAATTCAGCTGTGAATCCATCAAGTCCTAGGCTTTTTGTTGTTGTTGTTAGGTTATTTATTACTGATTCAGTTTCCTCATTCAACTTGTTATTGGTCTGTTCAGGAAATCAATTTCTTCCTGGTTTAGTCTTGGTAGGTATCTTTTTTATAAATTGCCTTGTCAGTTAATTTATTATTGATCAAATGTGAAACTTTAATATGTTAAAAGGAAAACTTTTGACAAATTTAACATTTTAGCAAAAAATGATTCATAAATTGGGCACCACTTAGAATCAGAAGAGGTTCAGAGAGCTCTGCTCTGCAAAGTGCACAATGAGTGTTTACAGATGGTACATGGAAGTAAAGTATAGAAATATAGTACAGAAATAGCTTGATTGCTTAAGCTAGGTGTTTGCCTTTTTGGATATGGTCTGATCACCTGGCTGCCTGTGATTGGCTGAGGCTCAGCTGCTCACTGGCTGGACTCTGTTGTTTGTTATACTCCTCAGTTAGGTTTTCAGTTTGTTTACATCCTATGTTAGCTGTGTTTTGTTACATAGGAACTCAAAGTATGGAGAACACTTTGGGCCAATGGCCTCCTGCTTATTTAATTTAACAATATAACAATTATTAGATTCATAACAATTTAAAGAAATTGTAAGTTGAACCTAAAGGCTTAAAAATAATAATGCTACCCACCCAAGCATTAAACAAACAAACAAACAAACAAACAACTCTCAAATTAATAGAACCTTCCTCAGGCAGGTCACTTACTTTCTTTGGAAAGCAGTTCTCCTCCAAGTTATCATCTAAGACAACTTAGCCAACAGGCAAAATTTAGCCTCCATTACTGAGGCCTTGCTTGAGGATCCAGGGGCAGTAGGGAGTGGAATCACCCTCGCAAGTTGTTCAACCTTTACTCACATAGAGGGCAGAGTAAGTTGTATCCTTTTTCAGCATCCAGTTCCTGGATTGGTACCTGCCCAGCAGGAATGATGCTGCCAAAGAATTTGCATGGCTCCTTCTTTTTATTTCCCATTTATAGCGTTCCATGTGGATCTAGAGGGCTTTGATTTATGGAAGGACACATGACTTAAATTGATTCAGTCAGAACTAATCTGGAACTTTTGTGAAGTTGTTTTGAAAGAGTGGCTCTTTCTTGGGGTTACTGAGATTATTGGCTATCAGCTTGGAGTTCCATTCTGTGAGTAGAGGACTTGCCTTGGAATAAAGCCAATATACAGCAGTAAACCTAAAGGATGAAGAGAGTAAGATCTGTTGCTGATGCCTGATATTTGAGCTCCTGGATCTACTTAGCCTAAAAATTTATTTTTAAGTTGTTCAGTTACACAAGTCAGTAAGTTCCACTTTATTTCCCCTTAAGTTAATTTTTTTAACTGATCACAAGAAAGCTGGAATAACTCTTAAGCTAATTTAAACGGAGCTTATGACAGTTGCAATTAAGAGATCTTAATTTGTAAATGCATTGATAAGATTTGGTTGTTATAAGAACAAAGGTAGAAGGGAATATTTTCCTTCCTAAGAAGAATTATAACTTCACTGTTAGGTAGGGCTTGCTCTGTCTATTGCCAGTGTAGGTTGACCTACAACAAGAACAAGAAAAATCACCCATCACCTTCAAATGATCTCTTCACTAGCCTATTTCTGATACATAACATCCTATAATCAGAAATTTATTATTTTGCCTTAACGTGGTACTTTCCAAGTGTACTTTATTATTTTCTATTGTTATTTTATTTAATTACACTATTATTTTGTTAGATTATATTATTTAGGTTTTCATTTCATTTATATTTTAACAGAAAAAAATGCCTTAAAATTAATCCAAATAGAAGCTCAGTATATAAAACAAATGGGAACAGAGGTACTTTAATAACTGAAAGAATGGTGGGGCTAAAACACTTCCACATAAACATGGAGCTCCATAACAGAGTTTAACTTTGTCTGAGTCAAATAAGCACATGTTTTAGAAAGGTATATAGCATTTAAGGATATATAACAAATTTGAAGTCAATGAGAAAATTACTTACTATTTCCATCTTCCTCCCAAGCCATTCCACTGCCTCATTCACACACCCCCTGGTCCCACTCACCAATGAATAAACCATTTTCAACATTTTTAACTATTTCTTGTGATACTACTCCACATTTTAAAATAAAATGCTTGAATTGTCACTTCTTCTTGTTGTTAATTGTAGACATAATTTGTTATATTTTATTAGTAGATGAGAATTTAGTATTTAGTATTTATGTAACTGTCACTTCCAATTCTCTTCCACCTATCTGGACCCAATATAGTTACAACACAGTTGTTCTATAGCCAGTATTTATTTGAATAATTTTGGCCATTTAATATTAGTCTCTGCTAGTCAAATACTACAGTGTTATTCTCTTTTTTCATAACTCTTTTTCTGGACTTAACTGTTTCCATTTCTTCACATGTTCAGTTTTGAAAATATACTTATGTCTTATTTCTTTTGGGCTATTATGACAACATATCATAAACTGGATAGCTCATAAACTACAGAAATGTACTTCTCAGTTCTGGAGGCTGGGAAGTTTGAGATTCAGGCACCAGCAGATTCAGTTTCTGATGAAGATCTGCTTCTGGTTTATAAATGGTACCTTGTAGCTCTGTCCTTACATGGTGGACAGGGCTATTTAGCTCTCTGAAACCTCTTTTATAAGAGTACTAATTCCATTCATGAGACTTCTGCCCTCATGATCCAATCACCTCCCAAATGCCCCACCCACCTACTAATACCATCCCATTGGTAATTGCTTTTAACATTAATTTTGGGGAAACATAAGCATTCTGACCATAGCAACCTATTACTAATTAGGCCCCAAATTGGAACAGATTTGTCTGTCAATACTATATTTCAAATAATATGTTTAAATAAAATCTATCAGTTCTCCCTCCCTCCTCTCCTGCTTGATCTCTTCCTTCCAAGTCATCAGTTCTTCTCTCCATTCTATAATGCATGCTTTCATGACCTTCTTAGCAGGTAACCTGAGATTTCTTTAACCATCATCTTAGAATTTCTCGCTGCTGATCACCTATGTTGAGTCTCCTATATACTATATCTTCTATTTCTTCCTTTATATATTCATTTGATTTGTTGCATAGCTTGCTGGTAGTTTTCTGTAGAAGGTGCTTAGCAATTTATTTTCTAGAAAATCTGTGCATATTTGAGAATATATTTATTCTACTTCTAAATTAAGCTTTTTATTCTGAGATAATTGTAGATCTGTGTCCAATTTTAAGGAATAAAACAAAGAGCCTGTGTACCCTTTACCCAGTTTCTCTCAATGGTAATATTTTGTAAAACCGTAGTACAATATCACAACCAGGATATTGAAATAGTCAAGATCAGAACATTTCCATCACTACTAGGATCCTTTAACTGGGCCTTTATAACTACACTCACGTCCCTTCCCTAATGCTCAGACTAACCCCTAGCAATCACTAATCTGTTCTCCAGTTCTATAATTTTCTTATTTCAAGAATGTTATACACAAAGTTATAAAGTAGATAAATTTTTAATTTTTTTTCATTCAACATAATTCCCTTGAGATTTATGCAAGTTGTTTTGTGTACCATTTGTCTGTTCCTTTTTATGGCTGAGTAGTATTACATAGCATGGATGTTCCACAGTTTGTTTAACCATTCAACTGTTGAAAAATGTTTGGGTTGCTGATAGTTTTGGGCTACTATGAATAAAGCTGCTATGAAAATTCTTGTACAGATTCTTGTGTGAACATAAGTTTTACATATTTCTGGGATAAATGCCTAAGAATACAAATGTTGGATTGTATGGTAGTTGCATGTTTAGTTTTACGAGAAACTATCAAACTATTTTCCAGAGTAATGTATCATTTTGTATTCCCACCAGTATCGTATGAATGATCTAGTTTTTCTACACTCTCACCAGCATTTGATTTTTCACACTTTTTGAAATTTAATTCACTCCAACAGGTATGTCGTGACATCTCATTGTAGTTTCAATTTGTATTTTACTGTGGTTTTAATTTGCATTTGGCACTTAATTTGTATTAATACAAATTAAATATCTAATGCTGTTGGACATCTTTTCATGTGCTTGTTTGCCATCTGTATATATTCTTTGGTGAAATGTCTGTTCATATCTTTTGCCCATGCTCTAATTGAATTATGTTTTACTGTTGAGTTTTGACCAGTACATAGTTTAAAATTTTTATTTTGGCCATCTCTATTTCCATGAGATATTTCTTATTCTCTGAATTCCAAAAATAAATAAAAATGATCCTGATCTGTTTTCTAAATGGGATACAATGGCTTCTCTTCTCTTTCTGAGATTATTAATTAATCATATAGATTTCTTGGAGTTTTCTTCAGACATCTGCATTTATTTTATACCTGGGAAATCTCTTTCCTTTGTTTGTTTTATATTCTTTCTTCATTTTTCTATTGAGACTTTCCTCAAACATCCTGGGAATTATGGTTCAGGCCTGCCCCTAATATTTGTGGGGCCCAGTACAAGATACAAATGTAAGCCTATATATCATATACCTAAATATTTAAAAATTATGATTCAAGGTAACAGATTGCAATTCTCCTATCTTGACAAGTATAATTCCAAACAATGATGATGATAATAATAATAATTAAAAATTTATGTAAAGCTAGCTTTTGTAGGACTAGAAGTCATCAGAGCATCAAAGACAATTGAATTTAATTATTATAGCTCATTTCTGGGTGTTCTACAGATCTATAGATGTGTAGATGAGCAATAAAATAATTTATATATTATATTTATAAAATGTAATATGATATATAATATATAATGTAATATGATATTATATAATATATATCTATTTAGAGAATATATTTAGATAATAATTTATATATTCTATAAATTATTTTTCTTGCCTCTAAGCAAATACACTAAATATGTCATAAGGAAGATTTTTATATAACTTGTTATTGACAATAACATTTTAATTGAATATTTAAGTTAAAGTGAATGTAAAAGAAGTAAAAATTTTATTTTTCATGTATATTGTCAAAAAGTTAATTTTCATTCAAGATATTTAGAGGGCATGTTTAAGGTTATAGACCATTATACTAGCTTTGTGATAAGTCCAGAGTGACTGTGTTCTTTAATAAATTAAATTTTGTGCTAAAGATATATGGGGATCTCTAAAATGGAGGGCTAGGGAAGGGGCTACTCCTGTCCAGGCCCAAGAGTGGTTCTGCTCTGGCTTTTCACTCATCACAGAACAGGGGACTAAGAAGACGTTTTCCAGGGTGTAACAGTGAGGCTCATCAACCTGCAGGGTTCTCTCTGTGGTGAACAGGCATGCATCCAGCCCTTTGTTAGATTTCCAGTTGTCAGTATTTGAGTGTGTTCTCTCTGAGTAGGTCACTTTCTCCAGAGGAGAAATCTCCAATCCCTTCTGGCTGCTGGAATTCTGGAGGCTGAATAGATGTTCAGACTCCTACACAATCCTCCTGAGCTCAGCCACACTTTCTAAGTCTCATCCTCTGCTGATCCTGGTTACATTTCTTCAGCACAAATGAAATTCTGGATCTGCTGTTAAATGTTTTAATTCTGTCATTCAATGGAATTTTTGATGCAAAGGAGATACATCTACCATGTTTACCTGGAAGTGATATCTTTTGGAATTTTCAATCCCCTGTAAAAGGCAGCATATCTTAGTTAAGTAATGTTTGCTTGCAACTGCCACAGCTCAATCATAACCAATTTAAACAAATTCTACTTCTAGTAGTAACAGGAAATTGTATTGGAAGGTGTCAGTCTGGCTTCCAGCAGGAAATAGAATTCACCCATATGGTTCAAATAAATATTAATGAGAAGAACACTTACAGAGGTTCAGCATTGCTGATTATAATTCTGAAAGACACAATCCAGAATGCCATAATCCCAATGTTGAAATCCTGAAAGACAAAAATCCCTAAACTCTAAAATCTCTAATGTCTAAAATTTTGAAAATCACAATTCTAAAATATTAAAATCCTGAATGTTGAAATCCTAAAAGCTGAATTCTGGGGAAGAGGTTAGTGCATTTCTGGTTGCCTGATAGTTGCATCATGTTAGTTGCATCATATTAGGTGGAACTATTACCCTGTTATTGTCTTTACTTGGAAATTAAGTACAGTTTAAGGAGATGCATATGGGTGCTCAGTTGACAAGGGGTGAACTTTCAGACTTAATTTTAGGCATCAACTTGATTGGATTAAGGAATATCTAGGGACCCGGTAAAACATAATTTTTGGGTGTGTCTGTGAGGGTGTTCCCGGAGGAGATTAGTGTGTGAATCTGAGTGGATTAGATGGGGAAGATGTTGGAAATGTAGCCTGGCACCATCGAATCAGCCGGGGGCCAGGAGAGAACAAATTCAGAAGGCACAATTCTCTCTCTCTCAGAGCCGAGACAGACTTTTCTTCTGTTGCCTTGGACATCAGAACTCCAGGCTCACTGTCTTAATCATTATTGGTGTCGTGAAAGCAGAAAATTGCTTAATTGGAATCGCTGAGCAATAATCAGGCTTTCAAATGGGCAGCAGAGACTTTACAAGATTTAAAGGCCACAACCACTCTCCAAATACAAGTGCAATGAGTGTTTTGAAGGTCATAGAAGTGAAAACACAGGCAGAACATACAAGAAATTTCCCCTGCCAAATTATTCAATCATGTCTCTTCACACACAGTGCCATGCTTGCCTTCAAAAATCATTCTTCATTAGAGAATAAAAAGAATTTGACAGGATCAGTGACCTTCTGAACTAAAGACACTTGCTGACATAGAGGTTTTTCTAATATTAAAAAACACATTAAACAACCAACTATTTTATGTTAGAAGTTGTTGAAGAAGATAGACTTTTTAATTCATAACACTAAATCTAACATAGAAAAACTAGTGCATGCTTCACTCTGATTAATGGATGGCACTTTAAAAATGCTCCCTACTCGGCTGGGCAGGGTGGCTCACGCCTGAAATTTCAGCACTTTGGGCAGGTGGATCACTTGAGGTCAGGAGTTTGAGACCAGCCTGGCCAACATGGTGAAACCCTGTCTCTACTAAAAATACAAAAATTAGCCAGGTGTGGTGGTGCCCGCCTGTAATCCCAGCCACTCTGGAGGCTGAGGCAGTAGAATCGCTTAAATCTGGGAGGCGGAGGTTGCAGTGAGCCAAGATTGCGCCAATGCACTACAGCCTGGGCGATAGAGCAAGACTTTGTCTCAAAAAAAAAAAAACAAAAACAGAAACAAAAAAATGGTCCTTACTATATTTTTTGTCAACTATATGCAATTCATGGCCCTGTAGGATCCAAAAATTCTATAACTTCTTTGCTTGTTCATGTATCAACAGAAAAAGAGAAGCAGTTTATAAACTCTTACTTGAAGAGTTGGTGAAATTTGCAGAAGAAAATGAATTTCAGAGAGTCCCCAAATGATAATGACAGATTTGGAATCAGGTGCAATCAAGGCTTCCAAAAGCAAATTTCAAAGTGTTACCAAAAAGTTGTTTTTTCTGTTCATTCCAATGAATTTGGCAGAAAATTCAGATGAGTGGATTGGCCACATGACACAGCAATGATGGAAACTTCAGTTTAAAAATGTGTCATTTTTCTGAATGAGCATTTCTTCCAGCTGATGACATTCTAAGAGCTTTTAATAAGTTAAAGCCACATTTGCCTGAAGAAGCCAATGAAGTTACTGACTGGTTTGAAAATAATTATGTGGCCAGGCACGGTGGCTCATGCCTGAAATCCCAGCACTTTGGGAGGCCGAGGCGGGTGGATCACGAGGTCAGGAGTTCGAGACCAGCCTGACCAATGTGGTGAAACCCCGTCTCTACTAAAAAATCAAAAATTAGCTGGGCACGGTGGTGCATGCCTGTAATCCCAGCTACTCAGGAAGCAGGAGAATAACTTGAACCCAGGAGGCGGAGGTTGCAGTGAGCCGAGATTGTGCCACTGCCCTCCAGCCTGGGCAACACAGCAAGACTCTGTCACACACACAAAAAAAAGACAAAAGAAAACAATTATGTGTATAGTAGGATAAAAAGACACGTTATGCAATGGTGTTGCTGTTCCATCACCATTATTGTTTCTGCCAAATTTGTGCTTTGTATATGAGTGCGTGCAAAATGAATTTCTGAGTACCCAAAATAACATAGAAGCATGGCACAGAAGCTGAAAAAATTTAATAAGGAATGCTCACATTGGTGTATATTGAATTGTAGAAGAATTTCAAAAAAGCAGAGCCATGTAGAAAATGAATGTGAATAGGCCGAGTGTGGTGGCTCACGCCTGTAATCCCAGCACTTTGGGAGGCCGAGGCAGGTGGATCACCTGAGGTCAGGAGTTCGAGACTAGCCTGACCAATATGGTGAAACCCCATCTCTACAAAAATACAAAAATTAGCCAGGCATGGGAGTGGGTGCCTGTAGTCACAGCTACTCAGGAGGCTGAAACAGGAGAATTGCTTGAACCTGGGAGGCGGAGGTTGCAGTGAGCTGAGATTGTGCCACTGCACTCTAGCCTGGGCAACAGAGCGACACTCCATCTCCAAAAAAAAAAAAAAAAAAAGAAAGAAAGAAAGAAAATGAATGTGAATGTATTCTCTGAGGAGAGCCACACTGTGAAAGGAAAAAAGGCAGCTATTCATTGGGATTCAGGAGTTCAAAACAGTTGATGTGAAAGTTGGCTAGCTCTTACAGATTCTCTCTCTGCGATTGCCCATAAGCTAGTCTGGTAATCCACTTTTTCTTATGTCAAATTTTCATTTTAGTTTTTTTTTTTTTGAGAGGGTTTTTTTTTTTAAAGCTTTGTCCATTATTTTAAATTGTCAGCGTTATTTTTCAAAATTTGCTATGCCAGGTATCTCATCTTCACATCATTTTCAATACTGGAGGTGTAAAATTATGTATAGACTTTTAGAGAGTTCTAATTCATTTTATGCATTTTTTTTTTTTTTTGCAAATGTGACTCCATGAAAGTGCATTAACACAAGGTTGACTTTGTGTGTAAGCATTGTGCATGTATGGAAAACGTTGAAACTTCCTCAGTAAATGAAGAAATGTCTTTTTGCATATCTGTATTTATGAAAGATAAAATGTCTAGAGATCTTGGCTCTTTGAGCTACTGGCACAGTGGTGATGTGGTGATAACTTATCCAGGTTTTTGACTGATCTCATCAAAAGACTGGAGTTGTGCATCACAGTATTTCATGTTACTGCAATTATAAAGCTGGGTGCACACAATTACTAACCACAGTGATATGTGTTTATATATTTTGCTTTTAGGGCTATTTCTTTATGAATGCAGTTTGCTCATAACTGTGTGACTGTTAGTATACTTATGTGTTTATGATTGCAAAAATATGTATGTTATTGCCAATTTTGTGCAAGGTGTCCTATGAAACTTTCTATTGTGTTTTTATGTTTTTCAACTAAATTTCCTTTTACAATTTAAATAAATGTCTTTTAAATAATTAAAAAGATTTTTTTCCAGGATTATATTTTTGGGATTTTCATCTTTCAAGATTTTTTTTTTATTATTATACTTTAAGTTTTAGGATACACGTGCACAACGTGCAGGTTTGTTACATATGTATACATGTGCCATGTTGGTGTGCTGCACCCATTAACTTGTCATTTAGCATCAGATACATCTCCTAATGCTATCCCTCCCCCATGCCCCCACCCCACAACAGTCCCCGGTGTGTGATGTTCCCCTTCCTGTGTCCATGTGTTCTCATTGTTCAATTCCCACCTATGAGTGAGAACATGCGGTGTTTGGTTTTTTATCCTTGCGACAGTTTGCTGAGAATGATGGTTTCCAGCTTCATCCATGTCCCTACAAAAGACATGAACTCATCATTTTTTATGGCTTCATAGTATTCCATGGTGTATATGTGCCACATTTTCTTAATCCAGTCTATCATTGTTGGACATTTGGGTTGGCTGGGCGCAGTGGCTCACGTATGTAATCCCAGCACTTTTGGAGGCTGAGGCAGGCGGATCACGAGGTCAGGAGATCAAGACTGTCCTTGCTAACACGGTGAAACCCCTCTCTACTAAAAATACAAAAAATTAGCCGGGTGTGGTGGTGGGCACCTGTAGTCTCATCTACTCGGGAGGCTGTGGCAGGAGAATGGTGTGAACCTGGGAGGCAGAGCCTGCAGTGAGCTGAGATAGCACCACTGCACTCCAGCCTGGGCAACAGAGTGAGACTCCATCTCAAAAAAAAAAAAAAAATTTCAACATTGTGGATTATGGCATTCAGGATTGTGTATTTTAGGATGAGGGCCCAAAACTGAAATGCAGGTTTAAAGAAACAAGGGATGGTGAGGCAACCAAAGTCCAGCAACAGTGTGAAATCATTACCGCCTCTAGGGCTAAAGGGAGGAGGGAGAAATAATATTACTAGAGCCTGGTGAAAGTTAAAAGCTTTCTAGAGAGATAGCCTGATAGGGGTTGTAGTTGAAGAGGAATGCAGCTACTAGCAGAGAAGGCACTGAAGCATGAAGGAAGGGAGTAGGGAAGCAACACTCTGGTTTCTTTTTCTTCCACCATCTGATGACCTGCAAGTGCCTCACATTGGCCAACTCCAAGGGAAGTCAGGTAGCAAGAGAACCAGAGTGATGCAGAGTACTTTCGTCAGCTCCCAGGACAGGAAAGAGAGGGGACAGGGAAAATAGGTCTGGGGAAAGTGGAGATAAATGTAATATAACCAGTAAAGAAGAACAGAGTGCCTTGTAGATCAACAGAAGCTACCAGACTTCAGAAAGAGTGGTATCCCAGCCAGGTACAGAAACTTTAGCACTTCCTTGGACTTTACTGCTAATGCTTCGCACTGATGATGATTCAGTTCCTAATACTTTTAGTCCCCACATTCTTAATTCAAATTCTTGATAGATTTTTATTGGCCACAAGTCAGCCAGTTTAGCCTTTTTTCTTTGTTTGATACTCCTCATAGTCTAATTAGCTATGACCAGAGGTTTAGATCATGTAGTATGGATATGGCTGTAAGAGTTTACTTCCCTGAGTAAGAAGACAGTTTCAGACAGGGGACTGTGGCTGGGCAGGCACCCCCAAAAGTGTCAGCTTCTCAAATGTAAGTTGAGTAGTTATCCTACATTGCATGAAGTCATGAGCATATTATCAGAGCTCTCTCTTTAGGACAGAGGGTATGATGGTTAACTTTAGGCACTGTCAACTAATGGCCATGAATAAAAGAAAGTACTAAGTATATGTGTGTAGCTGGTGAGAGGGTTACTGAGTGAGGCTGTACAGGCTGTGTACAGCACAACTGCAGACACCACCATTGTGCAGCAATGTGAATCATGCTCCGCTAGAATTTTGCTGTCTCATCCTTGTTCTCAACTTTGCTGAAGCCTTATTCTACCATGAAATCACTTATTTAGCATTTAACAAATTTGTACCTGAAACTAGGGGGATTCTGGAATCAAGTGTTATCCTCTCCCAATGTCTACCACTCGTGGAAAGTGACAAAGCCAAACAGAGGTTTCAGTAGCTTCACAGGGGGTGTGTCCATAGACACCAAATGGCAACAAAACAGGGGTTTCAAAACTCAGTTGTTTGCAAAAAGCACAATATTATTAAAATACCAATTGGGAGCTTTCTTAGGATAAAATGCTTTTTTAAATCTATTCACTACATACTGCATCTGTGAAAGAAAGGAGATTTTTTAAATGATTGATAATTTTAGTCAAATTACTTGGGAAAGCCTGTTTTGACTTGTCAGACAGTCAAACTAGGATTTAAAAAATGCTGTAAAGAAGTGGTCCCAGACCGGCAGCATCACTTGGAAACTTCATAGACATGCAAATTCTCAGGCTGGCTACAGTTTGAGAAGTTAGAGAACTGCTGCGTTGGAATCACCTGATATACTGGTTAAACCAAAGATCGCTGCCCTCCCCACACTGTTACTAATTTAGTAGGCCTGCCATGGGGCACGGGAATATGCTATTATTGGAGAAAAAGTTTTCTTAAGAAACAGTTTCCACCCAAAGTTTGGTAAATGTATTAGGCGAAGATTTTTTTGGAGTAGTGAAAGAGTATATGTCTCATGTAATCCTTGGGAGGACACTTTCCAGACAGTTGGATTGTCTACATCAAAATGTAAAAAGTTTGGCAAGATTTCTCATTTCTAATGTTATTTGCTTTGGGATGGTAAAGTCTTAAGAAATCTTTTATAAAACATTAGCCCAGAAATAACTTCAAGAGCTTGAAGTTTGCTTCAAATTTTGGAAGAAAAATCAAGTCAGACCCTGTGTTTTACACATGTAACTAGTCATTACTGTAATTAACTGAATCTGAAAAGTGATTTTTTATGAGTATAAAAATAAACATTGAGTTCATATTTCAGTGTTATTTGAGAATCTTCTACCTTTAAAATCAAACATAGCAGTATCCCTAGACAAAGAGGAAGTGAAAAGAAGCTTCTGGATACATATCTTACAAAATTCTTTCCCAGTTCGTTGATGTTTCTATGCTGCTCACAGACCCAGCAACTGCTATATCTACGTGCATTAGAAGGCTGTGCATTTACTAACACAGATGCACCATGCTGTTGAAATGACTCTTTGGAAAAAACATCAGTGATTCTATTAAGACACTGGGTATTACCATAGCACCCGTTACTGAACTGCTGTAGTGTCATAGTGGATGCAAGATTTATGTTTTGGAGCCATTGGAAGCAGTCATGACACACACTTTCCTCTCTTTCCTAATTTAATGACTGTCACCACATATGATTATCAAACATCACCACAGATTCCAGAATGTGGAAAGTCACTGGAGCTAGAGCAGAGGAGCCAAGCAGAAACACCTGCAAGGGATTTCGAACGTGATTACAGTTCAGTTGCTGTATTTTCAGTGAGAGATACAGATGATGAGGCAAAGAAGCATCTGCCTTCCTTTCTTCTGGCTCTGTGCAACATTGTGACATGCACTCCCTGCATGACTGCAATCAGTCACTTCCTTGGAGCACAGCTGTAGTCATTCACATATGTGTTCATTCAACAGACACTTATGTCTGATAAATATTTACTAAAGAAGTATGATCAATGTCTGTTAGCAATAGTTTGGGGAGCAGATGTTGTTTTAGGAACTTGGTAGTCATTACATGGATGACAAGAGCATAACATATTTTTACACTAACACCTGACAATGATATGATTTTCCTCAAGTTCATAAGGTGGCTTCACACACAGTGTTTTACGTTCCCAGCTCCAATCCTGGGATTAGATCAGAAAGAAATTATCCCCACAGTGAGGCAATGGAAACCTCCATTGAGTGATTTGCCCAATGTCTGGAGCTAATAAGTAGTGGAGTGGGTGGACACTTATGTGTAGATTTTTAATTCTCAAGTTCTGTATTTAACAATTAAATAACAAAAGCAATGATGTTAGGGTTTGGTATTATCATTTTCCCTTTCTAGAATATTAAGGGTTAAACTTTTCCCTTTTTCCGGATGTAATTTAGCAAATGAAAACAGGTGTTTTCTTTCCACCCCCCCCCTCACAATTCCTTTCCCAAGGTACAGCTGACTGCACCATTAAGGATGGAGGTAAGGCTAAGCTTGGTGGCTCACCTATAACCCTAGCACTTTGGGAGACCAAGGTGGGCCGATCACTTGTGGTCAGGAGTTTCAGACCAGCCTGGCCAACATAGTGAAACCTCATCTCTACTAAAAATATAAAACTGCCCCAGCCTGGGCAACAGAACAAGACTCTGTCTCAAAAAAAAAAAAAAAGTGCCTAGCAGCCTAGCCATGGTGCCCAAAGTTCAGGTACATTATAAGTGTTGGGGCCTGAGGCCTAGGTGTTGGAAAACTGTTGCCATTGAATGGAGGCTTCCTTTCATTGCCAGCACCAGTTCCAGCTGGTCCAATCCTGGTCCCTTCTGTAACATTAGCTTTAAGGGCTGGTCCCTCCTTCCTTAGATGGTGAAAATGTTTCTAGCTGGAAAAAGAAAGCAAATGCCTTGTAAGAGTAGGGAAAGAGTATATATCCCATACAGCATAATGGCTGCTGATTTTGCTGCAGGGGAAGATGAGAAGCTTCCTTGAGAGTCCTCAAATTCCACTGTTAGCTTCATATAAGCTAAAGTAAAACTACACAAACAAAGAAAGTATATTCCATTTTAGCTAGGAGTATAAAGTAAAACAAAACATGATTCAAGGTTTCACTTGAGGTGCCTGCAAGTCTTACACCAAGGATATGAGTATAAATAAAGTCATATTTGTGCCTACTATTGTAGATAGGCTATATTTCTAAGCATTTTGTGTATATAGCTGGTAGGCGATATCATTGCATGTTTAGTTTTAAAAAGCTTTATTTTTTACAATAAATTTACTAGCCATGAAACATGCTAGGCAACAAAGTCTTATTTTTAGCAAAAGAAAAAAAAAAATCCAAAAGCCTGCTTACCCTGCTGCAGAGGGGCAGATTGCTCTTCTCAGGTCCTGACAAGTTATTCCCAAGGCTTCTTTTTCAAGATACACAATGGTGTTTATTTTGGTCAGGGCAGGGAATAGAAATTCTACTTAAGTTTGGACAGAAATAAATTTATTATAGGGTAATCAGCTTACAGAATCATTGGGAAAGTTAAAGATTGAACCTTCAAAAATTGATTTAGGAACCCAAAGGTGGCCAGGTGCTGTGGCTCAAGCTTGTAATCCCAGCACTTTGGGAAGCAGAGATGGGTGGATTGGTTGAGCCCAGGAGTTAGAGACCAGCCTGGGCAACATGGTGAAATCCCATCTCTACATAAAAATACAAAAATCAGCCAGGCATGGTGGTACACACCTGTGGTCTCAGCTATTCAGGAGACGGAGGCAGAAGAATCACTTGAACACAGGAGGTGGAGGTTGCAGTGAGCTGAGTTTACCCACTGCACCCCAGCCTGGCTAACAAAGCCAAACCCTGTCTAGGAAACAAACAAACAAAAAAACCCCCAAAGGCCACCAAGAGGCTACTTGTATTGGGAAGTTGCTGGTGCCAGAATCAAGCTGCCCTGCCACAAACCAAAAGGCCCTTATGATTAAGAAGCCCCTACAGCAACACAAATACATCTGATAGAGTAGCATCAATCCATTAACTTCTATTTTAACTTCTAGCTGCAAAAGAGTCTGGGAAATGCAATTGTTTGGCTTTCTAGCATAGAACTCAGTAATATGCATCCACCACACTTACCTACATTTTTTATTTCTTGTTTTTTGGGATGGAGTCTCGCTCTGTCACCCAGGCTGAAGTGCAGTGGTGCTATCTAGGCTCACTGCAACCTCTGCCTCCTGGGTTCAAGCAATTCCCCTGCCTCAGCCTCCTGAGTAGCTGGGAATATAGGAGCTTGCCACCACACCCAGCTAATTTTTTGTATTTTTAGTAGAGATGGGGTTTTGCCATGTTGGTCAGGCCAGTCTCAGACTCCTGACTTCAGGTGATCCACCCCCCTTGGCCTCTCAAAGTGCTGGGATTACAGGCATGAGCCACCACACACAGCCCTTACCTACTTTTTAACTTATCTACTTCCTTAAGGTGGACAACCAGATTGCTTGTTTTCTACTACCACAAAGCTCCAATGAAGATTCTTCTAGACTGTGTGATGTTCTGTGGGATGGATACCCAGAGGGAGGGATAGTAGGGTCATAGGGTATGTGCACACTTTTTTTTTTTGACTACGTACTGCCAGAATGTTACTCTCCAGAATATCTCTATTAGTCTAACTCCCAAAAGTTTAATGTAAAAATAATTTTATATTTATACATACTATCATAAACTGAATAGTTTCTACTGTCAAGCAAGAGTCAATTTATATTTAAAAGCCAACAGCAGGGTTTAAAAAAATTTCTTAAACATTATATCTAAAACAGTATAAGAATAGAAGATAAATCAGTAGACAGAATACTTTATTAAAATTATTTTCATTTATAAAAATGGGTGGGTAGGCTGGGTGCGGTGGCTCAGGCCTGTAATCTCAGCACTTTGGGAGTCTGAGGCAGGAGGATCCCTTAAGCCCAGAAGTTTGAAACCAGCCTGGGCAATGTAGTAAGACCCTGTTTCTAAAACCAAACCAAACCAAATAAAAAAAATTAGCTAGACATGGTGGTGCATACCTGTAATCCCAGCTGCTTGGGAAGCTGAGGCAGGAGAATCGATTGAACCAGGGAGGTGGAGGTTGCAGTGATGCAGTGAGCCAAGATTGTGCCATTGCATTCCAGCCAGGACAATAGGGTTAGACTCCATCTCAAAAAAAAAAAAAACAAAAAAAAAAACAGAAAATTTTAAAAATAAAAAAAATAAAAATGAGCAGTAGCAGGGGCAGTAGAGAGAACACTGCAACCTCTTGCGTCAGAGAAAACAGTTCAAATCCTGCATGTGTGAGGCCAGGCAAGCTCCTTAACCTCTCTTTGAGTCTAATTTCTTTGAGCATCAGTAAGATGGTGGTAATGATAATAATGATATTAATGTTTTTGAAAAATAGAAGTTAATGGATATGAAGCAATCAGGGCAATGCCTGGCACATAGCCCTTCTGTAGGAAATGTCGTTATTATTCTGATGAGCACCTGTGGATTTGTCCCTGTGATTGCTCATCCACACCTCCCATCTGAATGAATTTTTGTAGCACACAGAGACCTAGACTGTCTATTCAAGTTTCCTCTGTCTGCCCCCATCCCCCAGGGGCTGGAAGAGATATAAAGATAGGACAAAAGTCTCCTTGTTGTTCTTGTTGCTGTCTTGTAGAACTCAGAATGTAAAGAAGACAGGAGAACACACACATACACACACACACACACACACACTTTTTTTGTAACTTCAGGGATGACCACAGAGAATCACCTAGAGAGGGACGGCAGAGTGCAGAAGCAGCACTAGATGGTGCAGACCTCCTATCTGGATGTGGAGAGTGCAGACCTGAAGCGTCCCCAGCCCGTCCTGAACTCTGACTCCTGCATAGGTGCAAGGTGGCCTCCCTCGGCTGTCTTTGACTGCTCTCTGTCTCTGAGCCCTTCGTCTGACTTCCCATAACAACCTGCATTTCCTTTTAATAAGGCTTACCACACTGTGCCATAATCTTCACTTTCATCTTATGAATGATTAAACAGATGTGTTCAGTTATTTGGCTACACTCAGGCTTGTTCTTGCTTTCTGGAAGGTTCTGAGAATTTCAGGTGGCATGTTTGCATAATTTATCAGTTTGGGTGAGTCAGGAGGGAGAAACCAGACAAGTTATTTGGACAGTGTGAATTTCATATAGAGAATCATATGGAAAGATAACTGGAAAGGAAAAAAGAGAACACCGTTCCATCTCAGAGGCTACTGCCCTCCACTAAGGCTGGGGGCAAAAGGTACAGGTTGAAATTTCTGAAAGGCAGAAGTTTGGAGGAGAGACCTGTACAGGTAAAAGTCAGGCAGATGGAAAGACCCTGGTCCGCTGATGGGGGTACACTAAGGCTGGCTCTGCAAGTGTTAGAAAAACTGCAAACTGCATTGAGCTGCTGCTACTGCACGGAAGGGAACTGCCCTGCTTGGTGCAGTATACTGCACGGGTGACACAGGAACTGCAAGAGTACAAAAAGCAATAGGGTCAAGGAGACAGTGCTTTCCTTCTCCCCCAGTAGCACTCTTCCTGCGCCCCCTTACTGACAAAACCTAACAGGGAGTCAGCCTGCAAAGCAGAAATGGGATTCACAGAGTCTCAGGTCCAATAGCCTGAAATAGTTTATAGAAGGGTTGGTTTGAAGCTGAGAAATAATAGCATCATAACTGACACACTTCCTAAAATACTTTATGCTGAATTTTAGAAAATTAGAGGGCATATTCAAATATCCATCAATGGATGAATGGATAAAAAAATGTGGTACATATATACAGTGGATTATTATTCAGCCTTAAGAAGAAAATCCCACCACGTGCTCTAACAGGGATTAAAACTGAGGACGTTATGCTAAGTGAAATCAGCCAGCTACGAAAAGACAAATACTATATGATACTACTTATATGAGGCATCTAACATAGTCAAACACAGAGAGCCAAAAAATAGAATGGTGGTTGCCAGGGGCTGGGGGGAGAGGAAAATAGGGAGTTGGCTTAATAAGTACGGTGATTCAGTTTTGCAAGATAAAAAAGTTCTGGAGATCTGTCATACAATAATGTCAATGTTTTTAACACTCCTAAACATCACACTTAAAAACAGTTAAGATGGTCCATTATATGTTGTGTGTATATGTTTTTTTTACCATAATTAAAAATTTAAAAAAAGTGGACCTATAGGCGCTAGCTATCATATTTCTAAGGCATTTTAAATTTCTTCACTAACTTCTCAGCCTGCTTTCCATAGGTCTCTGTACACTGCTTTGTGGAGAATCCTTGATCCTTATCCCACCTTTAACTTGATTATCCCATGCTTATGCTATGGAATAATCTTTGATCTCTGCTTCATTGTTACTTTATGGCAAGTATTTACTTAATGCTTAATATTCAGAATCAAAATGATAAATACAAGCGACTACTTATGAGATATGTTTGCAAAATAAGATACAGTCATCTTGCAAAGAGGCCCCGCTGTATGGCCACTGTTAAGATTCTATATCAAGGCCGGTTATGATGGCTCACGCCCATAATCCCAACACTTTAGGAGGCCAAAGCAAGAGGATCCCTTGAGCCCAGGAGTTTGAGACCAGCCTGGGCAATATAATGAGACTCCTGTTTCTACAAAACATAAAAAAATTAGCCAAGTGTGGTGGTGTGCAACTATAATCCCAGCTACTCCAGAGGCTGAGGTGGGAGAATAGCTTGGGCTCAGGAGACTGAGGTTGCAGTGAGCTGTGACTGTGCCACTGCACTCCAGCCTGGTGAAAGACTTGGGACCCTGTCTTTAAAAAAAAATTCCATATCAATAGAATGGTCCAAAGTAAAACAAATTGTTTAGGAGACCAGCAAAAACATTTTAATTAGGTTTATAGGACACAATGTTGAAATTTGTGTGTAGTAGAGCCAGGGCTATGCTGTTCCATGGTCCATTCTCTTTGTTAAATTGCCTTATGGAGCCAGTCTTTGCCATGTTGCCTCATAAACTTTTACAGCAAACATCCCTGTAAATATTGGACACGGAGTGGGGAGTGATAGAAGGGAATGTAATTGTTTTAGTTTTAAATTTACCCTTGTCTAAATTTGTCTTTCACATACAGCACAAGGAGTGCCTATAAGTCATGAAGGCATTCACCCTTCTCAAGGCTGGATTGCATTTAAACCATTCCAGAGAGATGAGGGAAGCACCCCTTAGGAGAGGGAAGAAGTAATCCCACAACCTGTCTTAGTAACTCATCTCATGTTTGACAAATCTTGCCATAAGGGTCTTTGTAGGTAGTCCATGTCTCATCTGCTGCAATTTCCTCCTCCCCCGACCCCCTTTTCTGGTTACATCATTAATGGATATGAAAACCAGCTGGCCTCCTTCTTCTGTATGAAGCTTTTATAGATATAAATATGATTCAGTTTGTCAACTACTTTGCTAAACAATACTTTCCTCTAAACTTGCCCCATAAATTTTATTTTTCAGGTCCTTTAATTATCTTTTTGATACTTCTCTGAATCATTAGTAAGCTTACCATACTGCTATAAAATTGTGGGATTCAAGTTTTCGTGGAAAGCTAGTATATTTCTGAACATTTTTGAGATTAGTAGAATTACTTATTCTTATATAATATTCATTACAAAAATCATTGTTAAATCACCTTCTATCAACTAAGAAAATCAACTTCTCTTTGAGAGATTTTTAGTCTATAAGGAAAATAGATGGCAATAATAGAAAATATATAATTATATGTTGGTAAAAATGAGAAACAGTTAGGATGAGCATGTATAACTATGAGAAGCTCTCCCCATACCATAAATTTTTAATTATCTTCTTATTTTCTTAAATATATAATGAACAAAGTTAAAAACATCTTAAATCACATCATTTTGAGGTATCAGGATTCCACATTTTACTGACAATCTTTTTGTGTTTCTCTTTATATTTATTTTCACACATTTATAATTTATCTTAAATGTGATTATGTCATTACTGTTATTGGTCATATTTTAAAACATTTTCTGTGTATATACTTGTCTTCACCTGCTCTCCCTTCTCCTCCAAGTAACTAATGTATTTACCCTTCCAGTCCTTTTCCTTGGATATATAATTATATTTGAGTATGTGTTTAAAGGCTTATCACTGTTTATTTTAGAGAAAATTATATAGTCTTTTATGCATCTTGCTTTATCACTAAACAACTCTTTGTAGAAATTTCTGCCAGGCAACCTGTATACATTTAACTCATTTATTTTCATGGCTGCATTATAGTATGAATGTAACACTATTAAATCAACCAGTCTCTCATGTGTTTGTAATGTTCTTAGTTTCTATATCAGGCTAGATCTTCAGAATGTGCTTCTATTGCCATGAATATGTCAGAACAGTAGAACACATCCTGGGCAACACAACGAGACTCCTGTCTCTACAAAACCATTAAATAGCTATGCCAATGAAATGAAAGTGAATGACTGGTATACTTTACACAAAAATCTAGAGAATGACAAAGGCAACAAAAAAGGAAGGAATTAATAAAGATAAAAAGGGAAAATAATGTATTAGAAAACAAAACAAAAAAAGGAGTACTAAAAATAAGTTCAGAATCTGGTTCTTTGGGAAAAATCAACAAAATAGACAAACCACTTTCCAAATTAATGAAGAAATAAGAGAGGAAGCTCAAGAATACACAAATTAGAAATAAAAAAGTCCAGAGGAGAGAAAACTTTAAAAATTATGAGACTACTTTGCACTACACTCTGAAAATAAATTTGAAATGGGTAAATTTATGGTGTAATACAATTTAACAGTAGATGTAGAAAGCCTAAATGGACCAATTAAGAGATAAGAAATAGGAAAGTCAAACAACACTCCACTATGAGGCCCAGATGGTTTCACACAGGAATTTACTACAACTTTAAAGATCAGTTAATCCTAACAGTATTTAAACTATTCCAAAACATGGTTTAAAAATAAAGCTTCCAAATTCTTTTTATGAAGTAAATTGATCCCAAAACCTGACAAAATTTGCTCCAAAAAATAGAACTACAGGTCAATCTTACTGTCTTTTTCCTTTTGGGCTGCTTTAACAAAATACCTTAGATTGGGTAAATTATAAAGAAGAGAATTTATTGCTCTCCATTGTGGAGCTTGAGAAGTATGAAATCAACGCACCGCAGATTTGATGTATAGCGAGGGACAATTCCTCATAGAGGGCAACTTCTTGCGGTATCCTCACATAGCAGAAGCGGCGAGCAGGCAACCTCATGCCTCCTTTATAAGGCATGAATCCCATTCATGAAGTCTCCACTCTCATGACCTAATAACCTCCCAAAGACCCCCCACCTCTTAATACCTCACTTTGGGGGTTAGTTTCATCACATGATTTTGGGGAGAACACTTGCATTTGATCATAGCACTCATCGCCATCAATTAAAATATTCTAAATATTGTCAAAGAGAACCCAATAGCCAATTAATAAAATAATACATTATGACCAAATGAGTTGTTTCCATGCAAAGCAAAGCTCATCATGAGAAAATCAGCTAATATGTTCTATCATTTTAATACAAATAAGGAGAAAAATTATATGATTATCTCCATAGATGCAGAAAAATAATTTGACAAAATTAAATAATAGTTCAATAATATGGAATATGGTGGATACTTTCTAAACAAGATAAAATATGTATACCTCAGACTACTAAAGCCAGTTTTACTTAATGGACAAGCATTAGAGGACTTCCTGCTAAAATGAGAAACACAGCAAGGTTGCACATCTCTATATTATGTTAGAGGTAGTAGGCAATGAATTTAAACAAGACAGAGTAATTAGAGAAATGAGAATTAAAATGAAAAAAAAAAGCTGTATCTACTTGCAGATAATATGATTATGTATCTGAATAGCCTCCAAAAATCAATGTGAAGAGTATCGTAAACAAAAGTTTAGTAAAGTAGCAATTTATAAAATAATATGAAAATTAAATAAAAATAAGTATTACAGGTAAATATGTATTTAATGCTCAACAACAGTCATTTTGCAGTTGTCTCTCCAGATTCTAGAAAAACTCCTTTTCTAGAATTCTTAGGAAGTGTTGATAGGAACAATATTTACTCAATTCTTATATGTTCACAACAGTTTTTTTGTGGTTTTATATTGAAAGGTCAATATACCTAGATATGAAATACTTGGACCGGGCACGGTGGCTCATGCCTGAAATCTCAGCACTTTGGGAGGCCAAGGCAGGTGAATCACTTGAGATCAGGAGTTTGAGATCAGCCTGGCCAGCATAGTGAAATCCTGTCTTTATTAATAATACAAAAATTAGCCAGGTGTAGTGGCGGGCACCTATAATTCCAGCTACTCAGGTGGCTGAAAAAGGAGAATCACTTGAACCCGGGAGGTGGAGGTTGTAGTGAGCCGAGATTGCACCACTGCACTCTAGCCTGGGTGACAGAGTGAGACTCCATCTCAAAAACAACAACAACAACAAGAACAAAAAACACTACTTGGTTCATAGTTTCTTTTCTTGAGCCACTTTGATGTTATTCAATTTTCTTCTGGCATAAAACAGTGCTGTTGTAAACTGTCTGGTCAATCTGATTTTTCCCCCTTATAAGTGACTTGGTCTGTTAGTCTGAATCCCCACATCCCCTATTCTTTTGGGTGATAGTTTTACTAGACAATGTTTTGATGTTTGACTGCCTGGTTTCATTTTTTTTTTTCCAGGTAGACAAAATGCCCTTTAAATATGTACCCTTCTTTTTATTTTAGGAAATTTTATTGAATTATAGATATTTTGTTGACTCATATGTATGCTGAAGCTTCTTTGCCTGTATTCTATATTTCTTTCAGATCCTTTTAATCTTTTCTGTCTTCATTTCCTGTTGGTTTTTAAAACTTTCTTCCTTTCATCTCCTATTTCTTTTATGGCACGATTATTTTCTCTTGTGTTCCTTCCAGTTTGTCTTAATTCCTGACTTATCTTATAATTAGTTTTAATTTTTCTGCTCTGTCAGCTCTCTCTTGCCCAAACATCTCATTTCTGAGATTTGAAAGTTATGATTTAGGTTGTACTTTTATAGCTTCTACTATCACCTTAAATTATTTTAACTTGTTTAAAATATTATATATTTATATTTGTACATACATTTCTGGATGACTTGTTTGCTTGCAGTACTATTGTTCTACTCTTTATTCACTTTTTGCTTATGATAACTTTATAGGGAATTCAATTACAATCATTTTGTTGCTAGTGTTTAGGTGAGATGTGTTTTCCTGAACTCCTCAGGAGGGGAGAAGTCAGTATAGTTTGCTTAGCTTCACAAATCTAGTGCTGTCTTTTGTCATCAAGAACTGTTTAACATTTTTTAGTCATGTACTCTCTGAGATCTATCTTCTCCACTGCCCCGCTTTTCCCCCCTCCCACTCTGCTGTTGCTGCATCCACTGTTGGGGTGTCCACCACTGGCTTAACTCCCTCATACTTTTAGCATGACCTGTGGACAAGAGGTCTCATTCTGCTGACTCAGCTGACCCAGCTCTTGGTGAAGCTGTAAGTTCCCCCAAGGTCTAGCTGTGACTTTCATTTGAAACTTGATTTGGGTGGTCAGTCCTCTAGCTCTCTGCTACAGGGTCATTTTTTTTTTAGCCCTTTGTAGCCCTTTAGAGTTTGTTTTGACCTGCCCTTATTGCTTTTGGGATCTGGGTGTGTTTCCCGATGTGTCACCCCCTCTGCCATATCTGTGTTTTAACTTTGGTTGAGGTCAGGTATAGAGCCCTTTCAGAAATAACTCCCTGTATCTAACTTGATCTCTGTATTTCTACCATTTTTTTTCTTTTGGTGGGAATATTGCATCTTGCATCTTTTTATACTCTCAATGTTCCAGATTCTAAAACTTTGAGTTCAATACATGTTTGTTATTTCAAAAAGCCTAGTTCTTACAAGAGGAGCTCTGGCTTTCATGGATTAACTTTCCATGATTGCTTCAGCTAGGCATTTAATAATAATATTTAGAAATTCATCCATCTTATTTTTTCATGCTTCCTTCCCTCAACAGCAGCACAGATGAAAAGCTGCCATTGTTATCGCTTAAATGCCTGGGGAGAGGGTGATGAACACAAATAAGTGTGTCCATGAAGACTGTAAAAGAAAATTGCCCCAAAGCTCATCTGGGACGGAACTTTTGTGTAATGTAATTCACAATCTCCTTCTAGGGGGGTGGGAAATAGCATTCCTGAAAAAATATTTAAGCGATTTCCTGAGGGATTCTAATGTGATCAAAACTTGTTTTGGGAATCCAGTCACTCACTTAGCCAGCTGATGTCTGTCGAGAATTTAATAACTTTTAACAAACCATTCTTTTTTTGTTGTTTTTTGAATCTAACAATGTGTGCTTTTTAACCAAAGGCAATTTTGTCCCCCAGGGAACATTTGGCAGTGTCTGAGGGTATTTTCTGATTGTCACAACTTGGGGTGTTGGTGTTACTGGCATTTAGTGGTAGAGGCCAGGGATGCTACCAAACATCCTGTACATCCTAACAATGAAGAATTATCAGGCCCAAAATGTCAATAGTGCTGAGGTTGAGAAACACCCATAGAGTCATTGTCTATTCCTCTAAAATACCCTACTGAATCTTTGAATTGGTCTGCTAAGGCCTTTTCCCTTGAAGTAAGATTTAGTACAATTTTTATATATTTTCATAACTAATTTGTTTAAAGATTATTTTTGTTTTTTAAAACAGGGGACAGGGAGAGAAACCTCAGTTAATCCCTAAAAATATTATCCTACAATACTGGGTAGCTGTCAGGCTGCTGTGACCTGACCTGCTTTTCATGTGTACATAATTCCCAGGCCCGGCAGGAAACCTCAGTCTTTTGCCTTAAACAAGGACTTCTGGTGTCAGAGCTGATAATAAACTGGTATTGACCTTACTGATGTTGACCATTGAGGTTAAGCCCAACAGCGTGTTGTTTAGTACTGTCTCCTAATGTTTTAGTTTCTAATTCAGCATGGCTCACAACCCATCAACTTGTCTCCTGGTTATTTGAGTGCTTGAATTTGTTTTTTGTTCTTGAGCAACTGTTTCCAACAGCATTTCTTAGTTGCCTACTTCCCCTATCAGCAAGGGGAGTCTGCTTTACTGACACTGTTTTTCTTTTTGACTAAATGTTGTATTTGTAGAAACTAGCCTTCTTTCCCTCTTCTGCCACTAGGAAGGGGGAATATAGAGATCTGCTTGTGAGATGGGGAGGAGAAAAGTGGAGAAATACCAAGAGCACTCCCATCCTGCCTATGAGGGAATACGGAGCGCAGGAAAGACAGCGTGTGAAAGAGTATAGCCTTCTCTCTGAGTTTTGACAAATACCTAGGAGAAGAATGTATGTACCAGATTTTCATTTTTGCAAGACAGATGGAGGTATTGGGAGTCAAGCATGAGTTCACAAAATGGAGAAAGCAAGAAGAAAAAGAAAATTCTACAGAATTGTTTGAAAGAGATTTAGTAGGTTTTTTTCCTCCTACATTTTCATGGAAAAGGGGCACATTTTTAAAGATGCAATTTACTTAGTGGAGGCTTTTAGTGCCTAGAAACACAAGATAATTGTCTTTTTCAAAAACATGAGAAAACATTAGCCAAACATTTATTTATTCAAGGCTATAGGAAATTGATGTGGAAGCTGGGAAAAATGTATTTTTTAACAATTTTTTTTCTATAAAATAATGGCTTAAATGTACCTTTGCTTTGCTTGAAGAAAAGTGAGAACATTAGGAAAAGTATGAAATTCTAAAAATATACATTCCATTAGACATCATCTTCTACAATATTGAGACAAAATTAGGAAGATTTTTAGGTATTTGAGATTATTACCTTGTACTGTTGGCTCACATCTTGTAACGTTATTTTTTTTCAGTAATAACAGACTGCTGATTATTTTCCAAGCACTCCCAACCACTAAGAGTGTAAATCTCAGCCTAAATGGCCTGTAATCATCTAAGAATTCTCCCACGTCTCAGCCAGCAGGCTCCCCTTCAATTCACCTCTGATGCTTGTGCTCACTCTTTGACTTACTTTCCTTCAAGTTTATTTATTTTTTCCCTAGAAATAAATCCTTGGAGTTTCTTTCCAATTTGGGCTATCTTCTTAGGTCTTACTCAGTTGGCTGTTAAGATTTGTTTTTGTAAATTGGTAGACCTGGTTTAAACTTCCAAGTCAATTCTGAAGGTGTTACTATGTATGATGACAGTGATAAGGATTTGAAGGAGTTCATGTTTCTATCATGTTCCCTAAAGTATTAAGTAGAGTGTGGTTTTTTAAAAAGAGATATTAAGATATATGACTCCAAGCATGAAAAAAAAAAAAAAAAAGAAGATAGTCATTTGACGAAAGTAGAATAGCTGTCTATTTCCCCTGCAATGTGTATCCTGCCTGGCATTGGAGAGCCAGGGATGAACAGGAGAATGGAATCCCTGCTTTACTGGGTAATACCAGGACAGTATAAAACAGGATGAAATGGATGAAATGTGGTCGATAGGGAAGTAGAGGGGGTGGCAGAACCATAGGAAAAGGACATGAACTTAGGGAACTGGGACTTTTTCCCGGGGGGAAGAGATATTTAAATTGAAAATCAAATGACCCCCTTGTACAGTCCATTCTTATATTGCTATAGAGAAATATCGGAGACTGGGCAATTTATAAAGAAAAGAGGTTTAGTTGGCTCCCAGTTCTGCAGGCTGTACAGGAAGCATGATTTGGTACCTGCACAGCTTCTGGGGAGGCCTCAGGAAACTTACAATCACGGTAGAAGGCAAAGTGCGAGCAAGGTGTCTCACATGGGGAGAGCAGGGACAAGAGGGAGGGGGAGGTGCTACACACTTTTAAACAACCAGGTCTTAGGAGAACTCGCTATCCTGAGAACAGCACCAAGAGGGTGGTGCTAAGCCATTCATAAGAAACTACCCCAATGATCCAATCACCTCCCATCTGGCCCCATGTCTAACACTGGGGATTACAATTCAACGTGAGACTTGGTGAAGACACACATCCAAACCATATCACCCCTTTTCAGTTTCTCCATTAGTGAAATGAGGAAAATTATATAGCTAAGGTCCTATTGCTCAAAGTAGGACTTGGGCTAAAACCAGCAAATTTATCTGTGTTTTTTGTGTTTATGGGTATGTGCCTAAATTTTATTACAGATGTGTCTTGGGACTAAAAATTAACAAAGCCAAGACACTTGTGGAGAATTTGGGTAAATGATTTGCCCTTCTTGAACTTCACTCTGTGTTGGGGAAAGAGGTCTTAGGCTGCTGCCCAGCCACAGGCTAAATTGACCTGGCTGTCTTCAATTCTCCTTTTGAGTGGGTGATAGTTAAGCAAAATGTCTGGTTAAAAGTGTCTAATGTTAACAGCTAGAAAATTCCATTTAGTCTTTGCTTTGAGGAGGAGAGGCAGAGTAGCTATTATACCATCCCCAGCAGGAGATTCATGTATGTGCATCAGGGAACACTTTCAGAAATAAACCCTTGGTGGACTTTGGCCTGGTCCTCACCGGGGGTGGTCTCAAACCCTGGCTGCAATTGACAAGTAGGAACTGTGGATAATTTCTAGGCATGGGATCCTGGTATTAGTATTAAAACATGCTTCCCTGCTTAACTTAATGGGCAGTCAAAGTTAAGATACTTTGTACCAGGGAGTAGCATGCCAGGAAAATTGATTTTCAGTTCATCTAGTCTCCTAACCATTTAAGAGGCATTTGGGAATGGGTTGGCATTGTTAGTAGTTACTTATATCTACTGTTCAAGCAAGCAGGTGGCCAGCATCTGCAGACAGTGCCACGTGACTATAAAAACACTATGAGAACAGTGAAGGAGAGCCTTCCCAATAAGCCTACTGGATTCCACACTATCTCCCTGCTTTCCCGCAGTAACATGGTATATTCACACTGGAGAATTTGACTTTATTTCTCAGGATGGATTACACCTACATGCCCTCCCAGGCATCATGGACATGAACAACAATACGGAAGATTTTGTGAAAGCAGAAAGCAGAGTGACTTGTTGACCAAATATTTGCAATTCCTTTTTTAATGATGTAATTCTTTAAAACAATTTGTAATCTTTAAAAAATAACTTCAATAATATATATTCATTGAAAAAAATCAGAGAATAAAAACAATTAAATATAAGAAAATAAGACTATTATAACCCAGAAAAACAATAACATTCTTCTGTGTAGATGAACTTCTAGGAGTGTCTCTGTAAATGTTCATGTAAATGTAAATGTTTCCAGGGTGGAGTATTTGCAAGGAAAAACAAACCTTCCTTTTGCCACTCCTAGCTGCTTCTCAAGAATAAAATATTAACATGTCATTGTGTTAACAGAACTGATTTTTTTACTCTCAGAAAAGATTCTATCTTTTCCAGGGATAAAAAAGTGGAAGTAAAATAATGGTTGAAGAAAAAGAATATTTCATTCTGCCACAGTTCTAATGGTTCAAATATTTGCTCCCTATGGAAGAGTAAAGTGTAATTGCAGGGTATTTGCACACATACCTCCAAGACCTTCTGTACTAGACCTTGACCTATTTGTGATCAGATCCATTCTTTCTTGGCTCTATAGGCAAAGGATGGGGACTGGAGTGACAGCTGCAGACAGTGCTTCCTGTTGTCCTCAATTTCTCCCTTATCTGGCTTATATCAGGGTTTGACCAATGGGACACCTTGGTGAGAGATTGGAGGGCTGCAGCAAGGAAGGAGCCAGGGTATTTTGACCCCCACTCCCTGCCTTCAGCTTTGAGGGACATCTCTTCCAGCTTCTATGTGACAGGACCATCAAGGTCCTCACTTCGGACAACATCAGCCTTTGGTCTCTACTGTCACCAACTTTCCCTTTGTCCCCCCAGCCTAGGGTTGGGGTAGTAGCTTCTTGCTTTTGCTAATCTCTCATCTTCCTCTGATTTTTCAACTCTTTTATCTCCTGTGTATCCAATTCTCTGACTTAAATTCTCTCTATTTAAATGTTAGGGTGGTTCCTGCGTTTCTTGCTGGACCCAGATTGATATGGGTTCAAAGTGATATAAAAATAATTTTCTTTTTTTAATTTTTAGAGATGGGGTCTTGCTATGTTGCCCAGGCTGGAATGCAGTGGCTATTCACAGGTGTGATCATAGTGCACCACAGCCTGGAGCTTCTAGGCTCAAGCACTCCTCCTGCCTCAGCCCCACAAGTAGCTGGGACTACAGGTGCTCACCACTGCATTGGGCAAGAAAATATTTTACTCTCACCTAGGAGATATCAAAACATAATGCTGCATTTCATCACAACTGGCTCTAACTGACTGAAGTCGATTAAAGGCTATGAATTTTGGCCCTTTCTGGAACTAACTGAAGCTCTGGTCAATGAGCTGTGGGTCTTTTTTATAGACCAATGGAGTAATTTTATCATATCCAAAGGGGTAATTTTCAATGCCTACTTAGCATAACTGCTATGAACACATCTCCTTTTTAGCAATCTTAGTTCAGATTAAGCTGCAGAGAAAATGAAAACCAAAAGAAAAGGTAAATGAGAAATAAATACTAGTGGATCTCTTCAGTGACCTTTTCATCATCCATATCCTCTCTGCTCCCTTTTGTTCAGGTGTTTGACCCTGCTTACCTCAAAACTCCAGGGGTGGGCCTATACATAAGCTTATCCCCCTTGCTGGGGACTGGTTCAGGAATTGACATAGGACCCAGTTTGTGCCAATAAGCACTAAAGAGTGCTGTGCTAGAGATTATGAGGAAAGTGCATCTTTTCTTTTCTGCGAGAGTTTTTTGTTTTGTTTTTTCTAATCTTCCTCTGAATGTTGTTGGCAGCTGATGTGTGGCCCAGAAGTGCTGCAGTCACTTCATAAACGGGAAGCCACACACACCAGAGGGCAAAACAGCAGGGACCTGGTCAGAGCCACAGATGATATCAACTCTGAAACCTGCTTAGTATTCTAGACTTCCAGTTATTTAAGCCAAGGAACTCCCTTTGCTTTGAAGGCAGGTTGAATTAGGATGTTTGTTACCTGTAGTATAAAGTATCCTAATTTGTACAGAAAATTAGCAAAATAAGTACTAGGGGTAAGTGTTCTGAGTCTAATGGTTAAAAAACAAAGTAAGAAAAGAAAAAGGAAGAAGGAAAAAACACCCAAGTGATTATATGTGAGCCAATTTTAAAACTTTTTATATGTGACCAATCACCTGACAAAAAGTATAGAGACACATTATTTTTTAAACAAATATATTTTAAAAGAAGTTCTGACATGTTTGTTGATATTTTATGTTAGCAATTCAGATGAAAGTGAAATAGCTATGATATATGCTGTTTCATCAATGAGATGAGAAGAATTTGCTGACTTGGAAAATAGTTTTAGAACACTGGAAAAATTTTTCCTCAACTTTTTTGTGCTCCTCATGATGTAATGGCTACACTATATCACAACATCCTTTTAAATGTGATGTGCATGAATATTTTCTCCATCACTTTGTTAAGTGTGGAGTGACAGCTGCACAGTGCTTCCTCTTGTCCCCTTCATCTGGCTTTTCTTAGGATTTGATCGATGGAATACCTTGGTGAGCAACTGGAGGGCTGGAGGAGGGAAGAAGCCAGTGTATTTTGACCAACCCCTCTCTTCCTTGAGGGACATCGCTTCCAGTTTCCATGTAACAGGACCAGCTTCCATGTGACAGGACCAGCTTCCATGTGACAGGACCATCCTCATTTCCTTCAGCTGACCTCAGCCTTTGGGCTCCACCATCCATGGGTCAAATCTGGCTGCCACCTCTTTTTGTAAATAAAGTTTTATAGAAACATAGCCATGATATGCATTTACATGTTGTCCATGGCTGCTTTTTCACTATGACAGTAACATTGAGTAGTTATGACAGAGACTGTATGGCCTGTAAAGCCTAAAATATTTGCTCTCTGAACTTCTATCAAAGATGTTGGTCAACCCCCAATTTAGACAATCAACAGAACAGTAATTCAAGCCCTGGTTTGTAGCATTTGCTGTTTTCTATGGTGTAAACCTGACCATCATGGCTGATTTCAAGCTACCAACATGATGTCACTGAATTTGAGGCTGGAAAGAGATGTATATTATTTTGCTGTATTTCCACCATACAGATATAATGGATATAAATCACCCCAAGAGTATAGACAATAGTAAAATGTAGTATAGTTATTAGGAAGTGGTGAGTTTTCAGTATTCATCATCATTATTTGTAATATCATTTTATTTTAAATTTATAAAGTTTAATTTTTAATTACAGCTGTATTTAACAACTGACTTGCAAAACTTCTGAAAATTTAACAATTGAATCTTGCAAGCTCATATTAGCCAGCTCCAGCACACCTCTGTTTATGCTGTATGTTGCAGTATAAGCAACTTGGGTGAATGAAGTAGGTACTGGTGGTTGCCTTTCTATATTCATCCTCTACCCCAGTCATATATCTTGAAGATTGTAGGATGTTGACTCTCCTCTAATACCTGTAGCACAGAGATTTGCAGACAGTATTTCTCAACGAACATTTGTAGAAAAGTTCTAGTGATTCTGGTACATACTATACTTGCCCAAGCGTCTGAGTGATTCTATAAGCCAGGGGTCCACAAACCCCACAGCCGTGGACTGGTACCAGTCTGTGGCCTGTTAGGAACTGGGCCACACAGCAGAAGGTGAGCAAGGGATGAGTGAGCATTACTGCCTGACCTCTGTCTCTTGTCAGATCAGCAGAGGCATGAGATTCTCGTAGGAGTGGGAACCCTATTGTGAACCATGCATGCGAGGGATCTAGGTTGCACGCTCCTTATGAGAATCTAACTAATACCTGATGATCTGAGGTGGACCAGTTTCATCCAAAACCATCCCCCACTCCCCACCCTGTCTGTAGAAAAATTATCTTCCATGAAACCAGTCCCTGGTGCCAAAAAGGTTGGGAACCACTGCTGTAAGTTAACCCTTGTCTTCTGATTTATTATGTGTGTTACCTTGGCCATTGTAATTTTATGTGAGCCTAAGCATCAGATACTCTTTCACTAGTGAAAACTATAATAACTGCATTCATTTTCCCTCAAAAGAGTGAGGGAAAAATGGCTGAATTCATTTGAGATCCATTCATGACTAGAAACAAGTGAATTTAAAAGAGAATTGAGCTCCAAATTATCCAACAGCTAGATTTTTTTATACCTTGAATTGTGTTCAAGAGAACTTAGGATGTGCTGTGGGATGCTGTAAGAATCAACGCATCCATTCCTCAATACAGGCATGCTTCGAAACATCGTGTTGTATATGATAAAAGCATACAATGTTATCTGTCAACTTAAAAAAATTAAAAGAACCTATCTAAAGGTTAATTCATGAACAATTTCTAAGGTAAATTTATGTAAATAGGTCATTCACAGTGTTTAGTGTACTGAATTTAGGATTCCTAGTTAAGGCAGAAAGCACCTTCTAGAATATGTCACCTCTAAACCAGGTCAGTTGCTCTCAGGTTGAGAGTCTGAAGCCAGTTTCACTGTGCACAGTTTTCTGGTTCTTGTTGCTCATGTCTTTTCCCACACTCCACCTTCAGGTTGGGCTATGGTGGAATCTTTGAACACTGAAGTGGATGTGAGTTTCCGTGGAACCCACTGGATCTGAAAATATCTTTGTGCATGGGGAGGTAGACCTATCAAATGAAAATCTCTGGGAGTACAGTTAAAGAATCTGTACCCCCAGATAGTTCTCATGAGCTGTCAGACTGGAAACCACTGCAGGCTTGTTTTTTATAGACAGAAAACCAAGATTCAATAGTTTTAGTGACCTAATTGAGCCTACCTACCTAGTTAGTAGAACAAGGAAAGCCAGTGGCCACATCTCCTGACTCCCAGGTTAGTGTCTTTCCACTGTCACCTGCCAGTGGCCCCTCCCCGCCAAGTTGTCCCTTCCTATGTGGACTGGCTGACACTGGTTAAATCTAGGGCTTTGGAAGAAATCAGGGAGACATTTCTCAACTCCAGCTTTGTCTGCCTTTAAAAGGCAGTCACTTTAGCATAGGCCTTACAATTTTCTAAGTGCTATTTATTTTACTATTTCATCTCTAGGATTTAATACTTTTCTAAATGAAATGTTTATTATAAACATCCTTTTGCTGCCTCCTGAATAATTACAAACACTTTGGCTGCCTGCGAGCCATGCTTGTAGCAGCTGTAGCTCAACATGAGTTCCAAAGATTTGTTTCTAATTTAAAACAAGAATATTATGGTGAAGGTACTTAGCAAGAGACCTTCAGGCTACTGAAGTCACAGGTAGCTTGCTGCCACTGAAGACAGAAGTGACTGAGACCTGCAATTAATTATCCAAGTATTTCTCACCTGCATTCAAATCACCGAAGGGGAGGTGGTTGTTAAAATTCAGATTTCTGGGTCCTGACCCAGGCTCACTCCATTAGAACCTGTGATCCTAAGGCCATGCGAACTTGTAACAAGCATCTTTGATCAAATATTAAGCAAACATCGTGAGCTTCTGTGTGACATTGAACAAAGACTTCTTTGGGTCTCACTGGTAAAATGATGGGTTTCGCTTCTCTGATTTCATGAAACACATTAAAATTGATTTTTTTCTCACAGTGAGGGAAACTCGTATGAAGGAGCCATGAGTAATAATTACGGTTTTAATTCTGCTGTTTGTTTAAAAATACATGCACGTACCCCTTTGTGCTGTAAGCATTCTAACACATGCTCTCCTCTTGCCATGCATTTTTGGCAGTGACAGGCATTCATGGCAGGACTACTATTTATGCACAGCCTCTTGGGTATCAAACGGAGCATCATTGAATCCAGATATGTTCTGGATGAGAGCATCCACCCTGCACTTGGTGCAGGAGCTGACGGAACAGCAGGAAGGCCCCATAGGACAAGTTAAAGATGGAGTGTGCTACCTAATGGGTGCTGTGAAGGCTGCGAAGGTTGCTCTCCAAGTAGTTACAGTGGATTGGCTCCTCTTGGGGCAGGTGGCCTGCCTCAATTGACGACACCAGGTGTAGACTTTTACAAAAGGCCTCTGCTGCCAAAGATGAATCAGACTGGTGACATGGGAAAGAAACAACATGAAGACTTTCACTCAGCTTGTGTTTACTGAGCAATCTCTGCTCTTTTTTTCCTACAGGAACTCCACAAATTATTTGGTGACCAAAACTTTGGTGGTTTCTACCAATACTTGAAGATCCAAAAGAGTAGAAACCTATCCACAAATTAATGTCATGGTAGCTAAAAAATATGAGTTGGACTACACAAGAACACAACATTATGTTCCCATTGTAACATTTCCAAATGGAGACATTTGCCTTTTTAATGTCTTTGGTGGGAGAATGCGGGTCATCTTGCCAAGCTCTCCTTCATAAGGCATTTAATTTTTATGTTTCACTGCTAGTTTGCTTAGAACTGTACATCCTATTCTCCTACTCCTGCTTGTTTCCTGAATGTTTTAGCAAAAACATCTTAACTCAAAAATGACAAAACCCCTTAGCCTGTCAATGGAAAATCAGTTGCCACAAGGAAAACATGTGGTAGAGGCAGGCTAGAAAGAACTTGGACTCCTAAGTTGCTCTTAAATTACTGCCGGCTTGCACTCAGACTTTTCCAGACACAGCCTGTGGAAAAGACTCAGCCGTGCGTATTTTCCGAGGAGCATTTCACAACACAATCTCCATATACCAAGACTGCCTCCATGCAGATCAAAGTCAAGTCCAGACCATAATGGAATTTTGCCCACCACCTCTCTCTGCTCCCATTAATACTCCTCACTTCGCTTTCACTAAGACTCTGAGAATTAGTGGGATTAAGTAAGAGGAAATGAATTCTGAGATCCTAAAGAAAAAGAACTTTCCAGGTAGGAAGAAATTTCTAAAGTAGTGTTAAAATTAGGAACAATTTCTAGCTAATCATCTCTAAAAGTAGGCATGGTGGTTCCAGTTGGATGGTTTCAGCAACAGAAATTTATTTTCTCACAGTTTCAGAGGCTAGAAGTCAGAAGTCAAGGTGTCAGGTTTGGTTTCTCCTGAGCCTCTCTCCTTGCCTTACAGAAGGCCACTTTCTTGCCATGTCATCAGGATTGTTACTCTGTGCACCCACCTATGGTGTCTGTGTGTGTGTGTGTGTGTGTGTGTGTGTGTCCTAATTTCCTCTTCTTATAAGGACACCAGTCAGATTGGATTACAATCCATCCTATGACACCCTTATGTTAACTTAGTTACCTTTTTAAAGGTCCTATTTCCAAATACCTTCATATTCCAAGGTATTGGGGGTTAGGGCTTCACCATAGGCATTACTGGGGATGCAATTTAGCCCATAACACCAAGTAACCCAGATTATTAGCAATTCATGAAAGAGATCAGCACAGGAATGATTTAAATTTTCTATCTAGTAATACTTATGAGTTTGCTTTTGGTTTTGTTAACAAGGCAAAACTACAGGATTAGCTGGAATAAGCGTGTTTAGAAACAAATGTTTTACTCTAGTTTCCATGGGCTGCATCTGTCGACAAATATCAACCTAACTCCTTTTATTCAGTGAGTTACCTCTTTCCAGCTTTCTTAATCACAGCAATTCCTGAGTGGCCCCTTTGAACCCAATCAGTGTTTTTCACCTCACCTCAGCACTGCTTTTCTGTGGTCACATCTTTCACCTCATGATTTTATGCTTCTGAAATCTTGAGTCCTAGCATCTACTAGTCTACTTGAGGCATCTTATTTAGCAATGCTTTGACACCATCCAGACATTTAGCCCATTGGCCTTACCACTGTCTCATTATGAATCACCCTCACCCCCATCAATGTGTCTTCTCGTTCTTTCTTATCCAACTTAGATTCTAAGGTCTATCATTATAATTATCGTTAGCTTGTTTAGTCCTCTCTCACTCCAGGGTTGGTAGAGTTACAATTGTGGTAAAAACCAAGTCTCTGCTTCTTCCATGGCTTCTTTCCCATCAGCTGCAGAAAAATGCAACTTTTTTGACTGTGTTCACTTCTCAGTGGTAGACAGAATGATGCCCCCACCAAGGATGCCCATGTCCTGATCCCCAGAACCTGTGAATGTGGGACTTTGCAGATGTAATTAAATTATGGCTCATGAGATGGGGGAGATTATCCTGGATTATAGGGTGAGCCCAATGTAATCACATGAATCCTTATAAGAGGGTGGTAGGAGGTGGAAGTTCAAAGCAGGAATTGTGAAGATAGAATCAGAGGTCAGAGAGAGGGAGAAATTTGAAGATGCTACCCTGGTGGCTTTGAAGATAGGGAAAGGAATTATGATCAAGGAATGTAGGAAGCTGGAAAAAGCATAGAAATTGCATCTCCCTTAGACTCTCCAGAGGGATGTGGCCCTGATTGTACCTTGATTTTAGCTCCACAAAACTGATTTCAGAGTACTGACTTCTCAGACTGTAAAAGTTTCTGTTGTTTCAAGCCACAAGTATGTGGTAATGTGTTACAGCATCAATAAGAAGCCAATACATAGAACAAATCTTAGATGACCACTCACTGACCACCATCTGGCCATAGCCCTGTTCCTCTTAGTGTGCTTGTTTCCTACTGAAATAATCACTCCCAAATGATTATTTCAAGGCTACCTACTTCACAAATCTCCTCTTATACCTCTCCCTACTTAGTATCTAACATTGTCTCATCTTTCATTGAGAATATAGAAACTTTCCAAAAAATATTATATACCCTTCAGCACCATTTTGACCGGCTGTGTCTGTCTGCTTTGTCTCTAGTTTCCATCCCCCTGTAGAAAGCATATTCCTCTTCATGTGTTCTGGGCTCACCCTCTTCTTACCTTCTGAAGGCATTTTCTCTCTTCCAGTATTGTTTTATATATATAGATATACACCTTTATATGGGTAAAACAGGCTTTTTCCTTTAGAATTAAAATCCACTTTAATATTTTTAAAAGTCTTCCCTTCACTTTGTATCTTCCTCCAATCTAATTTATATGTAAAAGGAATGTGGACTCATTTCCTTACAATGTAATTAACTTAAGTGTGAAACATTTTATTTTTCCTTTGAGTTAGGTTTACAAAACAACTTAGATTTAAAACATATTTTTAAAAGTTAATTTATTTTGAAATACTTTTAAACTTTCAGAGAAGTTGCAAGAACAGCATAAAAACTCTCATATAACCTTCATCTATATTCTCCAACTATTAACATTTTGCTACATTTGTTTAATCTCTCATCCATTATCATTTTTCTGGAACATTTGAAAACATGTTTTAGACATAATGTCCAATATCATTAAATACAACAGTGTAAATTTCTCCAAACAAGGATTCTCTCCTATTGTAGCAACCACAAAAAAAAGTTTCACTTAGACCTCCTGTTCCAGATCTTGACTAACAAGCCTAGGTAATTTAGTACCACATTCTTACTAGTCAAGGCTCACCCTGGCTGCTCCCAGCCTGTGACTGAACATGTTAGTGGTACGAGTGTAGGACACCAGATTCTTCTAATGGATAATTCTGAAGTCCTCCCATCCTGGCCAAATTTTTCTTAGAACTGTGATGCATCTATTTCTTGAGGATCCAAACTAAAGTGATGGTACTGGACATGGGGAGGTCCAATAAAATTGTCAATAAGATGGATATTTGGGGACTAGCTTACTCACTCCCCTCGGGCAAAAAGGCACCACCCTGAATGATGTGTAGGGCATTGATTATTCCTGGTGCATGGTGGCGGTCCAGTTTCTAAAGGTTTCACTGGAGGTGATCTGAGAAAATGTCCCTGTGGAAGAGAACACCCTTGCAGGTGCCATAATTCAGGTAATTAAAAGACAGAGGGCAACAATGCCTATAAAGACAGTGGAGATAGCTGGTTATTCCTATGATTTATTGCTCCCAAGCAGAGGGATGAGAAACTGAGATTAATAAGTAGTTGACTGAGATTAGTAAGTAGATTAATAAGTGGTGTCCACAGAAGAGGTCTATGGAAACAAAAAGAATAAATTCTAAGTGGGAGCCAGAGGCATCCTTATAATCTAATTGTAGAAGATTCTTCTATAATCTTCTTTGTAAATAATAAGGATGTCTTTATCATCTGCAGTGGAACAATGCACACAGTTGAAGAGCAGACTCGGGATCTGAGTTGACATTCCTATCTGGAGAACAGATTAATCATGAGACCCCCAAGTAGAGACCTATGGGGACCAGTAACAAATGCAATCCTGACTAAAGTCAGGTTCACATTCTGCAGACCCGCCTAGTGGTGACATGCCCAGCCTCTCTAAATGTATAATTGGGATTGATATACTTGGCAGATGGAATAATACCCACATTGCAGCCTTTGGCTGTAAAAAATAGCATAGCAGAGAAAGTGAAGTTGAAACCTCTGAAACTGACCTGACTACTTTGGCCAAGATACAATTAAAAAAAAAATTCAGAGTGCCTGGCAGAGAGTTGTTCTGCTCATTGTGATCATTAGTCATATTGTCAATTATTTTAAAGTTCTACCATTTCAGAAATTTTGATAATCTGATATGAATCAGAAAGATGTATACTTTAAAGGAAGAATGAGATGACTGAGTTTTATCTATAACTTATTCTATTTAACAGGGTTATGTTAGTGCTGTGGACTGATTTGTGTCCACCAAGAACTCATATGTTGAAGCTCTACCTCCCAGTGTGATGGTGTTTGGAGATGGGGCCTTTGGGACATAATTAGGCTTAGATGGGATCATGAGGGTAGGCCTTTGTGTCATGATTAGTTGTCTTAGAAGAAGAGACACCAGAGAACGTACACTCTCTCTCTCTTCACCTATGCGAGGACACAGTGAGAAAGGAGACAGCTGTCTACAAGCCACGAAGAGAGCCCTCACTAGGAACTGAATCTATCAGTACCTTGATCTTGGACTTCCCAGCCTCCAGCACCGTGGAAAATATTTGGGGTTAAAGTCACCCAGTCAATGATATTTTGTATAGCAGCCCAAGCAGACTAATATAGTTAGAAACTGATACTCTACCAGCATGAATTCATCTAAGATGGCCAATAAAGAAATATATTTGGAATTGTTTCTCATATAACAGATGCAATTCTTTCCAAATGACCCATTATTTAGAGGAGAGTGAAGAAGCACTTCATTTTCCAATATGTTGATTACACTGAAATCTATTTTACCACAGACAAAAAGGTGACTCCATAGTATTTAAAAGTAGGACAAGAAGACATAACATTACCAAGACTGATCTTTAGACCAATGTGTGGGTCTTGGGAAAATAAATGTAAATAACAGTTGACATAGAAAAAGAAATACTAAAGGTTTGAGAAAAGAAAAAGTTGAAGAAAAATTGGGAGATAAGAAGTTTTATTATTGTCTTGCAGAAAATCATTTAGAAAGGTCTTGAGAATAAACTCAAGAAGGTTCACAAGGGATGTGAGTTTAATGAAAAGAGACTATTTCTGTGTGATCAAATTATACTTGTTACTATTTCAGTGCAAATTCTGAAATGGAAAACTAGGAAAGCAATTCTATTTGAGGCATCAAGTGTTGCAGATGGAGGCTGAATTGATCTCTAGAGGAATAACCATAGAAAATCATTCTGAAAAAAGGATTTATTTCCTCAGTGATGAGGTGTGTTGAGAGAGAGGATCATGCCTTTGACTAGGCATAGAAGCAGGAGTAAATACAAGAAAAAGATGCAAGAAATACTCATATTATTTAAATCAAGACAATTGCGTTCAACTAACTGACTCAACACCCATTTATCATTGACCTTATGCCAAACATTGTACTAGGTAAAAGGAGATAAAATGACTAACTTAGGTGCTGTAAGTTACTTGACTGTGTATACTGCATTCTGGGACAAAGCCTGAATTCACTGTTATTTTCAGACATGCCTAGGCACATTTGAAATACTTGTAAAGAGAGCTGATCCAACATAGATTGGCATGAGTGATCAAATTGCTGAGGTTAACACTGATTACTGTTTTTTGTTTGTTTGTTTGTTTGTTTTGTTTTTTTCCTCTGTCACCCAGCCTGGAGTGCAGTGGCACCATCTTGGCTCACTGCAACCTCTACCTTCCAGGTTCAAGTGATCTTCTGCCTCAGCCCCCCAAGTACCTGGGACTACAGGCATGCACCACCACGCCCAACTAATTTTTGTATTTTGGGTAGAGATGGGGTTTCACCATGTTGGCTAGGGTTGTCTCGAACACCTGACCTCAAGTGATCTGCCTGCCTTGGCCTCCCAAAGTGTTGTGATCACAGGTGTGAGCCACCACACCTGGCCAATATTGATTACTTCTTAAGGGTACTGCTTCATGTGTTCAAGTAAATAAAACATACACAAAGTACCCTAACGCATTGACTACTCACATCCTTCTATATCACTAGTAGTCATGAAGAAGCGGAGGATTTTCTTTACATTGGTGAATTATCAGAGAGTATCTTATTTTCAGGTTGCTGGTGTTAGATACTGTTACGTTAAGAATCTCTGGCTGGGCGCGGTGGGTCATGCCTGTAATCCCAGCACTTTAGGAGGCCGAGGCGAGAGTACCACAAGGTCAGGAGTTCAAGACCAGCCTGGCCAACATGGTGAAACCCTGCCTCTACTAAAAAAACACAAAAATCAACTGGGCATGGTGGCATGTGCCTGTAATCCCAGCTACTCGGGAGGCTGATGCAGGATAATTGCTTGAACCCGCAAGGCGGAGGTTGCAGTGAGCCAAGATCGCACCACTGCACTCCAGCCTAGGCTACAGAGCAAGACTCCGTCTCAAAAAAAAAAAAAAAAAAAAGAAAAAAAAACTCCAATTACTCCATTATAGGCTTTTATATATATAATTCATTAGTGAAGTAGTAACATATTTCAGGTGATTCATTAAAACAGTCCTCACTGAGCCCTTCTCTTTGCTGGTTACTGTGTTGAGTGTCAGGGATACAGAGATCCATGAGAGGTGCTATTCCTGGAGGAATCAGAGTCTAGTGGTAGTGGCAGCCATGTGGGCAGATAATTACTGGATAATATGATATGTACTTTTTAGAAATAAAAGTAGAAATGGAACTGCCAAGGAGGGAATGACCAGTTTTCAGGATATCAGAAAAGGATTTACAGAGGATGATGTATTTTGGTTTTAAAAGACAAGTAATCCAGACAGGTTAATGGAACTACTGAGTTAGAAAAAAAATGAAACATCCAAAGAGCCCTGTGGTAGGATTTCCAGGAGTAGAGGAGGCTGATTTGAACACAATTGTCAAAGATAATCAGACCGAGGTCAGTATATCCAGACGAGCAAGTGAATATAGTGCTTGATTTTTAAAAAAGCATCTTTGCTAAAGATGAGCAAAGCCCATACTCAGAGCTGTCAAATGATGAGCGTCTTTTTTTGAAGTGTATTAGCCCATACAACTATTAAGAGTTACTGAAAATTTGATGTAAATTTTGGAAAATGGTTATAGTTAGTGACTTCTTTCTACCTTCCTACTGACCTCTCTTGATTTTTACCTGATAGATCAATAAACACATTTAGGGAAAGAACATAAATTACATTATGAACATATGCTTAGATTCAGAGAGACAGAATTGTGTCCACATTTCAATTCAAAATAGGAGAAGGTGTACTTTTAAATCTGCTGTTTGGTTACCTTAAAGTTTAATAAGTGTTTATCAATTCTCAGTGATGTATAAAATACATTCTAAGCAAATTCGGAGATACAGTCCCATTTTTAGTTTGGAATACATTGAGGATCAAGTGTTTCAACTCTAAGATAAGAACAGCAATAATGGGAACACAAAGTTCCCATTAGGCCACAAGGTTTAAGTAATCTAAGATAGGTTGGTGTTGGCCAGGAGTTAACTGCCAGTGACTCTCAGGTTTTTAAAGTCTGAGTATATCTTAAGTTCTCCTTCAATTTTGAAGATAGTTGTGTTGGATATAAATTTTTTGGTCGACAGATTGTTTTTCTTTCAATCCTTTGCATATCATCATCCCACTGCCTTCAGCTTCAATACTTTTTGATCAGAAATAAGCTGTCAATTTTATTGGGAATCCTTTGTATACAATGAATCACTTTCTTGCTATTTCCAAGATTCTCTCTTTGCTGCTGTCTTTTGACAGTGTGAATATAGTTGAAAGAAAAACGTTAGACAGATTAAACTGAACACAGTTTAATTGAGCAACTAATGACTTGCGAATTAGGCAGCCAATCAGAACCAGTAGTTCAGAGAGCTCCACTTCAAAACATGGACAAGGAGTATTTATAGATAGGAAATGGAAGTGAGGTACAGAAACAGCTTGGCATTTGCCTTATATTGACATCGTCTGATCAGTTGGCTGTCTGGGATTGGCTGAAGCTTGACTGCTGTTATTGGCTGAGATGCAGCCAATTGTTACCAAAAATATATTTCTAAGTTAAGTCTTTATGTACTAAGTTAGGAGGCAGTTCCTTATGTAGGGCCTAAAGGTATGAGGACAGCTTCGGGTCAAATTTAGCATAATTTAACTGTATAATATATCTAGGTGTGTCTGTCTTTGAGTGTATTCTATTTGAGAGTTGTTAAGCTTCTCAGATGTGCAGATTAATCGTTTTTATTGAATTTGGGACGTTTCAACCATTGTTTATTTAAATATTTATTCCTGTTTCTCTCTCTCTTCTCTTTTTGGGCTTTCCTTATGCATATACTGGTACATTTGATGGTGTCCCATAGATCTCTGAGGCTCTATACATTTTTCTTTACCCTTTTTCTTTTATATTCCTCAGGCTGGATAATATTAACTAGTCTGTTTTAAAGTTTACTGGTTCTTTTTTCTGCCAGTTCAAATATGCTGTTGGGCCCCTCTAGTGAGTTTTTCATTTTAGTTATTATTGTATTTACCGTTTTTTATATCCATACACTTGGATATAATCCAATGGAAGTTTAGCACTGAAAAATGTACAACTGCTACTGGATGGGGCAACCTTTAGAATCCGGAGAACCAGATTTGTGCTCCTAGGAAGTCTAACCAGGACAATCATGCTTAGCTCTAGAACAGGTAGGGCTGCTCTCCAGCCTACCTCCAGGCAGCTGACAGTGACTTGGTCCTCATTATCAGGAAAGCAACAGGAATTGTTTGTTTTTGTAGGTTTATTATAAATAGCTATGAGGCAAGAAATAGGTAAAAGGTTTTTACTCTCACAAAAGGCTAAGGGTTTGTGAAACTGACTCTTCACAGGTAATTGACAGTGGGATATCCACTGTCTTCTTCAAGGACAGTCCTAAGTCTACTTACTGGGTGTGGGTGTGACCTCATACTCTGGCCAATAAATTAATGACCTCAGAACATAATGGTACAAAATCAGCACATTTCTCAAAGTCTGGGTTGTCTCGTGAAGTAGCACAGAAAGAACATTAACAGTGTGTTCCTGCTTGAAAGTCATTAGGTTTTGTCCAGTCTCTTTTGGGTCCTTTTTCTAATTTGATTCAAAGAAGCTGTATACATGCTTTTCCCAGGTTTTCTGATTTTAGCTTCTCATCTCAGAGTTTCTGCTCAAACGAAAATACAATCTCTTCACACAAATGAGGGATAATTTTTAGGCGTAGTATACTCTAAGTTCCAAAGGAAAAAGAAACATTTTTCTCTTCCTGACTGCCTGCCCCATAAAAAAAGCAACAATGTCTGCAGAGACTCCATCCAGTTTATATCAGTGCACTGAGCTCATAGTTTCTCATTCCTAATGCCAGTTTCAGTGTTTATGGGGCTTCAGAGTTATCCCCAAAGACAATGGATTAATATTTATTTTTTATTTTTATAGCTAAGGGAGCCCATTCACTCATAATCAAAAACAAAGAAATAGCAAGTCTCATAAGAGAACTGAAGTTACTTATATCTTGCAAGATAAAATATTTTTACAGGTTTTGAATGTCAGTTTTTAGTTTTTTTCCAGCTTCTACCCATAATAATTTCAAAATTCTTGAGGATCTGATTTTAAAGAGGTCATCCTATTGCAAATGCACTATTTTCAAAAAGTGTTTCCAAACACACACAAACATAAGAAGCAGGGTGCCCCTTGGTTGTAAATAAAATATTGAGTGTGTGTTCTCCAAAATCACAAAGATAACTATTTGTGAAACAGTGACTTAATGGAGGAAAAAGATACTGCCATCTCTCCTATTCCTGTTTGGAGGCAATTCAGTATCCCCACGGTCATAAATTTCTGGTTGAGTGTTTGATATTATAAGTACTTAAAGACCTGACAGATGGAGACAGAAGTATGAACTACTGCAATACAAGGAAAGAGTCATATAAATTTTCCTTTAAAAAGAACAGAGAGAACCTGAAGTTGAACTTAGCAGGGAACAGTTACAATGAGCTTGGATGTCTAGTTGAGGACAGGCTGCCTGTGGACAAACAGGTGATGGTCCTTTTATAGTAATAAGCAGGGTTACCAGCACAAATTTGGCACAGCCCTGTCTACCATGACTCCATTTTCTCTACATCACTGTGGGACTTCTTGTCCTGAGTAGAGAGAAGCTCCAACAAAGGCATTTAGTAAAAACACAAAAACCCTAATTTTAGAATTCAGAGAGACTGGTTACATTTTTGCTTTACTCTGTAACCTACTTCACATAAACGGAATGGAAAGTTTTGTTCTGATTCTATCAAAAGTGATAGAGTGCTTTGATTCTGGACTCATCTTCAAAATTCTTGCTGCCTCATCCATCATTTCTGTGACCTGCACTATAATTAGTTATGGCATGCTAATATCCTCAATCACAAAGTGGAAATTAATACCTGATATTTCTGCATATAAAGATCAAGTGGATAGAACACATATGTAAGTCTTATAGGAATTACTTTGTTTTCTGTGATACTTCAGTTTTGTGAATTAAAGAAATAAAATACATAGATCAAAAATATTTGTGACCATAATTGTCATAATGAGGAGCCCATGGTAAATACTTAATAAATATGTGTTGAATGAATAAGTGGAATAAAGGTCAAATCACTGCATATTCTAACTGCAATTATAGTAAACACAGAATTCAAATATAAAACTATTTGTCTTAAAAAAACCACAGAGAATCTACCACCCATTAAAAAACCTTGTTTTTTTAATGAACCCTGAAAGATTAAATATCTCCCCTTTTTTTTGTATGAAAAGGCTTCAGCAAATGAATCTCCTCAGGAATATTTGAAAGAGTTTACTTCCAGAACAATATACTCAATTTTCTAGTATCAATTATACTAGAAATCTTGTGAAGAATGTAACCTAATAAATAAGGGGCTGTTGATTTCCCTAACAATTAGTTTACTTATGTCCTACAGGATATACTGGGTATGTGTGTGTGTGTTGGGGGTGGTGGGCAGGGTTGTACTGGCAGTAGAAGTCAAAGGTGTTGATTTACTCCTTCCAGTAAAAACAAGCTGTTACCTTATTTTCTGAGCAGTGACAACTCCTGGTTCTGGGCACAGCTTTTGTAACTCACGAACAGCCAGTCAGAAGCAGTACATAAAGACCTCAAAAGAATAAAATGAGCTCTTGCCTGCTGCCATGTAAGACATGACTTTGCTTCTCATTTGCCTTCTGCAGTGATTGTGAGGCCTCCCCAGCCATGTGGACCTGTGAGTCAAATAAACCTTTTTCCTTTATAAATTAAAACCAATAATAAAATGAAAAAATTTAATTTATGAATGCTGGACGTAGTGCTGGAAGATCATTTATGAATTTTATTTACGAAATATGAATTATGTAGTTTGTAGGGGCCAGTTTTCAGTATCAATAGGATATTGAAAATATGATTAATTTCATATTGAATTTTCTTGAAATCTCACATTATCTTCTTCCAGATGACAAAGAGGGTTGATTAACTGGAGTAGATTAAGGTTTGGGAAGAAAGGCTGTTTTGTGATTTTTCAGGGCCTATGTTCCTCAATGATCTTTCCATTCCAGCCTCTTTGGGTCTGCAGCCCTTGCACATTGAAGCTCTTTTCTGCCACAGGGCCTTTGCACATGATATTCTTTTTGCTCAGAATATTCTTCCTACCCCCATCACCTAGTTTACTGCTATTCTTCAGATCTTTTAGAAAATCCTTTAAAAATCCTAAATGATTTTATATCACCATAATCCTCTTCTTATCATAGTTTTAATTTATATTTGGGATATTAATTAATGTCTTACTCTCCATTAGACTGTGTGCTCCACAAAGGCAGAGCACATTATCTCTGTCTGTTTTGACTCCCTATTTTATCCCCAGCACAGTACTTGAAATGAAGCCTTTACAAGATCCAAGGAGAAAACGATTAATTTTGCCTGGAAGCGAGTGAGAGATGAAGTAAGCATGAAGCCTGGCACAGACAGCATATCAGTTGAGCTTGGTGGCAGATAATATGCCAGATAAGGAAAGTATTCTAATCATAGGAACGACATGAATAAAGGAATAGAAGCAAGTGCACGATGCATTCAGAAATCAGCATGGATGTAGAGAAGGGAATGAGTGGAGACAGGCTTACAAAGGCAGATTGGGACCAGATTGTTTCGAGCCTTGGGCTTGTTAAGGAGTTTGGACATTTTCTAGGCAGTGCCATTTGAAGACTTAAGCAGCAGAATAACACAATCCCATCTGTGTTTCAGATATAACTCTAGCAGCAGTGTGGCAGGCAGTGAATCTAAAAATAGGATAATAAGTAATGTGCACATCACTTTTCCCCTATTTGCACAGTAACCCAATTTTTAGCCTTGACATACATCCTGTTCGTGCAGGGAAATTCCTAAGCCTAAAGAAGCAGCTCCTTGTCCTATCTTAAGAAGAGTTTTGTTAAAGCAAAAGGGAAAAGTGGCCATCAGCCATTGTATTGTGTCATGTGCCAATAAGTGTTCAAAAATGAAATCATTTAACAAAAATAATTTACTTAATACATGGAACTGTAAAATTCAAGTATTGTTCAGACATTCTCAGAAACTGACCTTTAGGAAATATCACAGGTAAATAGTTTAGGGTATCAATTCTGAAACTTCCAACAAAGTTCCAAGTCATCAGGAGAAGTCTATGAATTCTAAGACAGTGATCAGCAGTTTCCTAGAAATAACAAGCTATGGAAACCTATAATATTTCTTCATCTTACTAGACATCTTGCGAATGACAACACTTACGTACCAGGGACATAATAATATTTATGAAGACCCTCTTATGCACCAGATGCTGTTCTGTTTAAACACGATTAGCTTATGTAATCTTCACAACTTTATGAGATACTATATCATCTCTATTTTACATATGAAAAAATAGAAATGTAGAGAGGCTAAATAACTTGTACAAAGTTTCATAGGTAATAAATGATATGAACTAGGCAGTCTAGCTCCTAGTCCTCACTCTTAACAAGTCTAGCTCTATCTCACCATGCAGAACTATGCTTAGCTTGGAAAGTTCCCTCTCTCTTTTATATCATCACACCATGTCCCATCCTTTATTCTTTACAACTAAAGAGAATATATTAATAAATCTAGGCTTATATTTGACTCTCTTTCACTGTGTCACATAAAATCACAGGGATTTTTGCTTGGTAAAATTTTGTAAACATCTGATCTTAATCCTGGTCATTTAAAAAATTGGTTCAGGCTGCTCCTGACTCAGGAGGTAAGAAGTACTGGAAACAGAAGCTGTTAGAAATTCCGACTCAAAATGTGTCTACAGAGGCTGTAGCTCTAACACAGAACTGTAATTGTCCTCCCTCTTGGGTATTGTCTTAAAGTTTATTATATCACCCTTGAAAAATTAGTTTCTTAAAGAGCGCACAATTCAATTTTCTTTTCCTAGTGCTCTGTTCCTTGAATTTATGCTGTTAAAGAAAAACACAAATAAATATACATTTCCTTGTCTCACTTTCACATATCATTCATCTTGCAAAACCTCTACAGTAACAGATACATCTGAACTGCATTTTGTATGATATTCTTGGTGTTGTATTTGAAAGTATTCTTACAAAGATCCTGACACCTCTTGGTGGGCTTGAGTAATGGAAAAAAATTTAGCATACTACATGGCATGAGCTATTTTGATATAATATAAACTCATGAATGAGAAGATTTGAAGCAGTTATATATTACTAACTTAAAAAAGATTCTCACATGGTGATACTCTTTTGATCATGATAGCCTCCTGATTTTATGCATGCCTTAGTTAAGTGACTAAACGTAGTCTGAAGAAATCAATAGAAACTATTAGAATACATTGTCTTTTTAAGTTGTAGACCTCAATTACATATTGGAGTAGGTTAAGATTTGAGAATAAATGCTGTTGAGTGATTCTTTAGGGTCAACCTACTATAGGCTCCTCAATGATCTTTCCATTCCAGCCTCTTTGGCTTTGCAGCCTTTGTATGCTGATGCTCTTTTCTGCCATGGGGTCATTGCACATGATATTCCTTTTTGTCAGAATACTCTTTCTGGCCTCTGTTAAACTGGACTTATGTTTAAATACCATATTCCTCCCTGACTCTCCATCTGCTCCCTAAATCAGTTGTGTGGCAGTTTCTGCAGGGTTTGTAAACTCAAACGCCTACAGGGATCAGACCATGATGTCTGATGAGCGCAGCAGGCAATACTCTCTGCTATCTTTCGTTTTTCTACTTTTAATAGAATAGAGAAATTTTTCTACTTTTCATGCCTTTTAATAGTCATCAGTACAGGAAAAAGTTTCTTTACTGCGAGGAAAATTATGTGCAATTTGAGGAAATAAATGGCAGCTGACACGACCCTTGGGTAGGGATCACCAACCTTTAGGCAGGGACACTGGATTGCACACTGCCTTCTGCTGGCCCACTTCCTCTCTGCCAAGTCTGTCTTAAGAGGTTTATTTTCTCATTCTTAGCACTTAATTCTATATGTTAGAGTACTTTGAGTTTCACATAAAGAAAATGTAATTAAACTGGCTTTAATAATGAAGGAGTTACATGGTTTACATAACTAGAGGTTGCACGGCAGAGGTTTGATCCAGGCTGTCTCCGTGTCTATGTTTCTTTTGGCTCTGTCCTTCATGTGTTGACTACATTCTTGTACTGACTTCTCCCAGGTAGTCAAATGGCTGTAGCAGCCTCGGGTGTCCCAGTGATACACCATATTGTCCAGAACAAGAGAGGGGTTCCCTTTTACCCTAGTCACCAAATAGAAATCCTGCACATTACACTGATGGAAATGGTCACTGTGGCCAGGCAGATGAGAATATAGTTATGAAACTTTGTGTCCATCCCTGGAGCTGAATTTTGGGCTAGTTCCTCTAAACCATGGCTCCTACTTAATTGGGAACAAATGAAAAGGATTCTGAGAAGTTCTAGGTTTCAAAGTTCTCCCAAGTCAAAATCTCAGAAAGAAGAAAAACAGTCACTCAGGATCCATATATTCGATATCACAGTGTGACCCCCTACTTCGGGGTTTGATCTTGTTTGATCCTTGGATCAATTGCAGTATGGAATATCATAATTGGGAAGCCAAGGACTGGATCATTTGCTCACTCTTGTGGCCAGATGTCAGGAAAGATCCTATAATTATAATTGACACTTACTCCCATATCACATGGATCAGGAAAGAACATTTTTCCTGGTGGAAAGAGGGAGCCTAATGGATAAGAACAGTAGATGCTCATACTACCTTATATTTGAATTCTGCTCTGCAACAAGGAGCTATTATCTCCCAGCAATAATACCACATCCTCAGGTATTAATTTTTAAGAACAGAATCATAATAACACACTAGTGTATTATTAAAATACTGTGAGAACAATACATAGAACTTATGTCTAAACATATCTAACAACAAATATTGTTTGGATATATTATACATTATAAGCTTGCTGAGTATATTCCATGAATCATTTTATGGTATACATGTTCCCTAACATGTGTCCAGATTTTAGTTCTTAGCACAATGTCCCACACCACCCTTTTCTTCCCCTACAACATAAAAAATCATTAGAGAATCAAGAGACAGAAGCTGGCCTCATTTCATTCCTGTAAGAATTTCTCTTTGCTTAGTAGAAAGGGTGAGCATCATGCAGGCTCTAGCCATTGGTTCACATTGACCAACCTCCAGAGATCCTTACTGAGTGGGTTTAGGGTGGAGACCAGGCTTTTGAAAAGCTCCCCCAGGTAATCCTGATAATTAGTATTTTTGCAAACCATTAAAAATGGATGCATTATTTTCTCCTCACAAGATATTTATAGCCCAGTTCACAGGTGACAGTGCTGGTCTCTTCAGCCTGGGAAGTTAGTGAGTCTTCTATGGAAGACATTTAGAAAATTCCTTTTTGATGGGGTCTTGAGCTTCCTAACGTCACCAGGTGACCGTTTCTGTTTCTGATGGAAATGGGTTTTACTAGCGGATAATGGAGATGGACTATTCTCTGCCTGGGTTTATTCACATCTGTGTCCCCTTCCAAGACAAGATCTATGTGAAGAAGGAACATTTGTGACTTTGGCTAAGTTCCTACCTATGCCTCCTTCTTGGTTTAGGAACCATGCTCATCTTCTTCCTGTGTTTCTAAAAAGAAGGCTGCTCTCCCCTGTGTTCCTGATAGAGTAGTGGGATGTTATAATGGGGCCACAGTTTCTGTCCCTTGGAAATCAATAAAGGGGTCAGAGCTACTCCCATCTCCTTACCTGGAACACTGCCCAGGTAGGTTTGTGTCCACACAGGCTTGGCTACAAGCCATGGGCAATTCCTCTGTCCTCTGCCCAACAGGAGTGATCAGGCCAATTCTAAAGCTCAGGATTCCATAGGGCAGCGGTCTTGGCACCAGGGATAGTTTTCATGGAAGACATTTTTTCTATGGACTTGTGGGAGGAGGGGGTGGTGGAGATGGTTTCAGGATGATTCAAGAGCATTACGTTTATCATTAGATTCTCATAAGGAGTGCCAACCTAGATCCCTCGCATGCACAGTTCACAATAGGATGCGTATTTCTATGAGAATCTAATGCCTCTGCTGATCTGACAGGAGGCAGAGCTCAGGCAGTAATGCTCACTTGTGTGCCACTCACATCATGCTGTGCAGTCTGGTTCCTAAGAGGCCATGAACTGGTTGGGGACCCCTGCAATGGTTGAATGGATTCTGCCTTCCAGGAAAGGGCAGGGCTGAGGGAGAATGAGTAGGATTTAGATCAGCACTATCCAACAGAAATACAATGCAAGCCACAAATGTGAGCCACATAGGTAATTTTACATCTTCTAATAACCACATTAAAAAAGTAAACAAATACAACTTGACATTGAATTTGATAGAGATTAAGAGGAAAGTGCAGTGTTTTTTTTGACTGATCTCTTTTTTGATGACCTACAATTTTTGCTTCACTTTGATCAAGTAAAGGAAAAATAATCAAGAAAGGTCTGGTCTGATGAAGAAAGGAGGCAAATCTTTGTTTGGTAAATGCTGAGACAGAGCCGCATACCCATCACACGGAGCGCAGAGAGGGAAATAGACTGTCCATTGTTCCTATTGCTTATACTGAAGGGCACTGTGGGATGATTCACTAGTGAATTGGAAGTACAAGGAAAAGAAGTGAGTTATTAATATATAGATCTGAAAGTTAAGCTTCATAAAGCTTTGTCTTATAGATATGTCTAAAGTGTGAGAGATTAAATAGCAGTTGGAAGGTTATGTGTTTGTATTATCAGGGAATGGTCAGATAAAAAATACTTGTCAGCTCAAAGTGACATTGAAGATTTTTTTAAGGATTTAAATCTACACACACATAGAGCAGCAGCCTCCTTGCACAGTTACAATTAGAAATCACAAGCTTTGTGATATTATCCTTGTCACAGTTTTTTTGGAGATAAAATGAATGTCTAGGTTTGTGTAAATTAGGGTTCTCAACAAAGACTTGCATGAATTGAATAGCTAACCTCAACTAAAATTGAAATATTGAGCATGATAGTGATTCACACATGTACAAATTAAAATACACTTAGTTTAGTAATGATGGCTACATTTCCAAGTGTAATTGAAAATGAACATGAACAATGTACCTTTACCCACGTGAACAAAGGGTTGGCAAAACATGTTAGGTATTTCCTAAATCAAACTAAAATTTCCAAAAGCTATCTGCCTTGTTCAGGGAGAATATGCAAATGCATCATGTTCAAGATTTATTGTAAAAGGTACTATGAGATGAAAGGAAATTGAATGCTGAGCCTTCACATGATAAATTTTTTTTGCATCTCTTTTAGTTGTCTTATAGGCTTATGTAGATTGGGAAATGTAGAAGAATAATAAACCTATAATAAATGATAATTTAAAAAGAAAAACATTTCCCTGAGTTATAAAGAGAAGAGAATAATAATAATAAAGTTAAAGAAATGGTACATTACGAATTTGAATTTTTCCCAATGGCCAATAACTAGAGTGCTAGCTACTGTGAATGGCATTTTACTTTTTTTAAAAAATTAAATAATTAAATTAAATTCATTTTTGCAAAGATGGAGTCTATCTCTGTTGCCAAGCCTGGTCTCAAGCTCCTGGACTCAAGGGATCCTCCTGCCTCAGCCTCCCAAGGTATTGGGATTACAGGCATGAGCCACTGCATATGGCCAACATTTTTCTTTAAATAAACACCTATGTGGTATGAAACATCATCCTTTTTTAATAGCTGCGATTGAACTGTTTGGTTCATAACAGATGCAGACACTCTGAGGTGCCCCCTCCATTTTCTGCCAACCCCTAGATTTGCTATAGCTGAGGTATTTGTGATCAGAAGGTGGATGCTCCTCTCTTATTCTATCCCAAGCTCTGGTACAGATGGTATGTCTGTAGCATATAGTACTAGCTTTTATTCATGGGAAATATTTCATTTTTCATTCTCACTCAAAATATTTACTGAGCACCTATATGGGTCAGGAGCCATTCTAGGTACTAAAGGATACAAAGATGAATAAGATGAAATCCTATACTTGAGAAGTCGACAGTCTACTTGAGGGTAAAACAGGCTATAGCTACAATGTGAGGTGAAAAGTGTAATAGCAAAGGACTTTGGAAAACATTTTATACCAGTCAGCATCAACCATCGTTCTTACTGGAATACTTTAGTTGATAGTATCATGTTTTTTCAGTATTCCATTCTAAAACCCCATGTGCATTAAGCTGTACTAGTTCTGCGGTCCCCAACCTTTTTGGCACCAGGAACTGGTTTTGTGAAAGACATTTTTTCCAGGGATGAGGGCGGGGGGCATGGTTTTGGGATGATTCAAGCGCATTACGTTTATTGTGCACTTTATTTCTACCATTATCACGTACTTACCGTAATGTAGAATCAGTAGCAGCCCTGAGCTTGTTTCTTGGAACTAGATGTTCCCATATGGGTGTGATGGGAGACAGTGATAGATCATCGGGCATTAGATTATCAGAAGGAGCCACCTAGATCCCTCATAGTTCACAATAGGGTTCAAGCTCCCATGAGAATCTAATACTGCGGCTGATCCGACAGAAGGGGGCACTCAGGCAGCAATGCCTGATTACCTCCTGCTGTGTGGGACTTTTCCTAACAGGCCAACAATCAGTACTGGGGTCCATGTCCTGAGGGCTGGCGACCCCTGTGCTAGTTGGCAACTGAAAGAAGAAGATGGGACTTACAGGAGTTTGTACCCAGATGGAGAGAGGAATAATTTAGAGGCATTAGGCCTCATTGAGTGGAGCAGGCTTAGAGCAGCTCTGTGTAGCCAAGCGGCATTTTAAAACATCTAAGAATTAGGGAGGATGATCAGGCAGGGTATTGATCAGGGGAAGAAGGGGAATGCCTATTTTTACAATTTTAATCAAAATTGGACCTGAGTTGGTCCTTTTGCTTTGTTTTGCTCCCACATCCTCCTCAAACATAAAGAAAAACTTAATAGAGTCAGGGAACAGGTCTTGTAGAGAGCAGTAGCTAAACACTCATTAACATGCACTGGGCCACTGCAATGATGAATAAGCTGTACTCGCGGTCTTTTAGGCTAAGAACAAGAGAAACCAGGACCCAGCTCATTACTCTAAACATTGATAACTAAAGGAAAATAATGAAGCATTCACCTCAGCTTTCTGGTATAAACTATTTTTTTCAGGATAATCAAATGGCATTGGTTGATGAGGAAAAAGTTTTCTCTGCAGAAAAATTCTGGCTAATAAATGCAGAAGGAATAATAGAATTTGAAAAATATTATTTTGTAAGCTCTAATGAAATATCTGGTGCAGGTAATAGTCATTGAGATGGTGGTAGAGGCTGGGCGCAGTGGCTGATGCCTGTAATCCCAGGACTTTGGAAGACCGAGGCAGGTAGATCACCTGAACTCAGGAGTTCGAGACCAGCCTAGCCAACATGGCGAAACTCCGTCTCTACCAAAAGTACAAAAATTAGCCAGGCATGGTGGCATATGCCTGTGATCCCAGCTACTCGGGAGGCTGAGGCAGGAGAATTGCTTGAACCTGGGAGACGGAGGTTGCAGTGAGCCAAGATTGTGCCACCGCACTCCAGCCTGAGCAACAGTGAGACTCCCTTTAAAAAAAAAAAAAAAGAAATGGTGGTGGAGAACTGAACTCTGATTAATCTTAAGCTTTACTAAAAGGGACAAAAACCAAACAAGAGGTGCTCCCAATATGATGCATGGTGAAATAGATGGCACCATCTATGAAGTAAAAATCATGTAAAAATCAAACTTGGCTGAGCACAGTGGTTCACACCTGTAATCCCAGCACTTTGGGAGGCTGAGGCAGAAGGTTCACTTGAGCCCAGGAGTTTGAGACCAGCTTGGGCAACATAGGGAGGCCCCATCTCTACAAATAATAATAATAAATAGCCAGGCATGGTGGTGCATGCCTGTGGTCCCAGCTATTCAGGAGGTTGAGGCAGGAGGATCACCTGAGCCTGGCAGGTTGAGGCTGCAGTGAGCTGAGATTGTATCACTGCACTTCAGTGCTCTAGGTGACAGAGTGAGACCTTGTCTCGAAAAACCTGTCTCAAAAAAAAAAAATCTAACTTGAGTCTAATTGACGTTAGTTAGAAATCTAACTTCCAAATCATAGGAAACAGTGGGGATAGAACAAGTTAAACAACATCCGGCAAAGGTGACCAGCCAAAACTAGGGTGGGGGACCTTTTCTATGTTGACTGACTCAGTTTCCAGTCTTAAATAGACTTTTCACAAAGGATGGAACATGTTGAGTAAATTAATGTTAGAAAAACTGACTATGCTTCTGTAAGTTTGTGTATTCTAAAAGTTGTTAGTGGTGGTATACTAATATACATTCCAAATTTTTAAAACCTGCAATTTTGTAAAGTTGCAGAGTCTGAATTTGAAAGATTAGAAAGATTAGTAGACAGATTCATTTGCTAATGGAGAAACCCATAGAGTTCTCTTCACAGACTTTTCTGATTTTCGTTTTGTCAGAAATCAGTATAGTGACAAAGAAGAAACCTGATGCATATCTTTAGGAATGAATTGGTTATTCTGCCCAGTCTGCCAGATGAGGTTGTTGATTTGCTAAACTACTATTTGTGGAGAGATTTCAGTGAGTTTAGAATCAAACCACTTTAAATCAATTTAAATGATATAAAGATTAGCAGTCACCACTTTGAAAATGCACCCCCTCCAAAAAAATTATAACACATATTTTATTTATTTATTTTTATTTTATTTTATTTTTTTTGAGGCTGAGTCTCACTCTGTCCCCAGGCTGGAGTGCAGTGGCGCAATCTTGGCTCACTGCAACTTCTGCCTCCTATGTTCAAGCAATTCTCCTGCCTCAGCCTCCCAAGTAGCTAGGATTACAGGATGTACCACCACACCTGGCTAATTTTTGTATTCTTAGTAGAGACGGGGTTTTACCATGTTGGCCAGGATGGACATATTGTATCTTGATATTGGAGATTATGATCCCTGTGGTCTATCACTTAGGATATGGTTCAGCTGTGGCGATTAAGAAATAATACTAGCTTAAATAGTAAGGTTTCTTTCTCTCCCAGAAATAGGGAGTCTGGAGTTAGGGAATTCAGGGCTGTTCTGGCATCTCCCTGGTCTCCTTCTTCCTGCCCCACTGTCTTAGTTGCATCTTAAACATTCGGTTTGTGCCAGCTGCAAGAAAGAAGGGAGATAGGGACCGGGCACAGTAGCTCACTCCTATAATCCCAGCACTTTGGGAGGCTGAGGCTGGCGGATCACTTGAGGTTAGGAGTTTGAGACCGGCCTCGCCAACATGGTAAAACCCTGTCTCTACTAAAAATACAAAAATTAGCCGGGTGTGATGACTCATGCCTGTACTCCCAGCTACTTTGCAGGCTGAGGCAGGAGAATTGTGTGACCCTAGCAGGTGGAGGTTGCAGTGAGCTGAGATGGTGCCACTGCACTCCAGCCTGAGGATAGAGTGAGACTCCATCTCAAAAAAGGAGAAAGGATGAAAGAACAAAATATTCCTTCTCCCAGCTGAGTCAGTTCCCATAAGCAGCCTTCCCAGATGTTCCACATGGGAGTTCAATTTATATATCTGACCACTGAACTGCATGGGTATACCTAGGTGCAAAGAAAGCTGGAACTTCAGCCTTGTAGCTAAGTGCGTTGCTGAACCAAAGAAAACTGGAGTTCTGATGCTAAGAAGGAAGGGGCATGTGGATTGGGGATCTCTGTCAATAAAGAAAACAGACATACAAGAGGAAATTAAAATTACTGTTTAAATAATTTCATTTCTGAAAAATGCTACAAAGTAGAACATTCTATTAGAGAGACCTAATTTCCATTAAATTTATATTTTGTGTTTTGTTTTCTTTTGAGAAGAAGTCTCACTCTGTCATCCAGGCTAGAGTGCAGTGGCGCCATCTTGGCTCACTGCAACCGCTGCCTCCCAAGTTCAAGAGATTCTCCTGCCTCAGTCTCCCCAGTAGCTGGGATTACAGGTGCGTGCCACCACACCCATCTAATTTTGTATTTTTAGTACAGATGGGGTTTCACCATGTTGGCCAGGCTGATCTCGAACTTTTGCCTTCAAGTGACCCACCTGCTTTGTCCTTCCAAAGTGCTGGGATTACAGGCATGAGCCACCGTGCTGGGCCTTGTGTTATTTTAAACAATATGCCAGAATCTGTGATTAAAATGGTTTAAATCTGTTGCATGCACTATTTTAAAGGCTTTTGGGGAAAGCCCACTGGCCCTTGTTAACGTATACCATTTTATCTCTGTGTTACATCCATCTTGATAACTTTATAACTTATTATTTTGCTGCAAGTTCTTGTGTGATTTCCTGAAAAATGTGTAGAACCTCCATTAACTTCATCACTATTCCCTTTTCATCCCATCCCATAATGCCTGTTAGGCCAGAACAATGACATTTGTAAATCAGAGGTTGTTTAATAGTTGAGTAGCACTGTTATACTTTCTTGTCTAATAAATCATAATCGAGGTTGGCAAACTGGTAATTATCTGGTCTGTGGCTTGGTTTATTGTCCATCTATTTCCTTCATAGGCCAGTTGTCTGAAGAAAGTGCACACAGATAAGGAAGTCTGCATAGACTTCCAATCTTTGAAATCTTATGGGTATAGGACTTGTTAACCTTATTTTGCAAAACTTTATTCATGATTGGGATAGCTCATGATTTTAACTGATCCAAGTCAGCTTCTCTAGAGATAAGTTCCTAGAGAATAGAACTATGCAGAGTTCTCCTGGCCCCAGATGCCACATATGACAGTAATGTGTTTTTTTGTTTTGTTTTGTTTTTTGAGGCAGGATCTTACTTTGTCACCCAGGTTGGAGTGCAGTGGCATGATCATGGCTCACTGCAGCCTCAACCGCCCAGGGTCAAGCAATTCTCCCATCTCAGCCTCTTGAGTAGCTGGGACCACAGGCATGTGCCAACCATGCCCAGATAATTTTAAAAAATTATTTGTAGAGAAGGGATCTCACTATGTTTCCCAGGCTGGTTTTGAACTCCTGGGCCCAAGTGATCCTCCTGCCTCAGCATTCCACAGTGCTGGGATTACAGGCCAGCGCCACTGTGTCTGGTACCAATGCATTTTGTAAAGTTTGATTCATTATGTCAAAAGATAAGTTATTCTCCTAAGCCAATCTCTCTTTTTTATTTATATATCACAGCTTTATTTGAAATAACCAACCAAAACTATAAACAGACAGAATGAAACATCGTCTCCACATCATATTGTAGTGAGCTTTTAAAACATGGGCTTTGGAGTCTGAGGATAAAGAGTCCTAAGTCTGCTCCCTTCTGACTTTCTGATACTAGGCAACTATAATTTCTCTGACCCTGTTTGCTCACTGTCACTTCTAACTGGATCCTATTTTGATGACCAGACATTGCCATGTGTCAGTGATTGTATTAAGCACTGGGAAATAACTGTGAACAAGATTAAAGTAGTTTTGGCCTTTATCTAAGTTGAAACTGGGGTTGCAAATTCCATTGCTTTCTTAGGTCAGGCAGGTGACATAAATGCCTGAAGGGAGTGAGGATGGGGGAAATACAAAAATCAGGGAGAGATGGTGATTGTGGCTGAATTTGAGGCTGCTGCTCATCAAAAGGTATTCAGATTCAACAGTTTTGAAACCCTAGATAGTCCTAACACTACCCCTACTATGGGCGCATTGCTTTAGCAGTCTACTTTATGGTCCTATGTTAAGTACAGAAGGAATACAGGCGATTTTCATATACTCCATAGGCACCTTCTCTGCTTGGGTGCTCTAGCCTGGAAATTAAGAGGAAGATTATGAATGCCACTATGTTTGGATCCCAGTTTTGCCATTTGCTCAGCTGTAATCACCCAGTGGGCTTTTCCTGTCTGCTGCACAGCCATCAATTCACTGAGACCAAGGCACTGCAGTAAAGAGAGTTTAATTGACTAGAGATCAGCCACATGGGAAAACTGGAGTTATCACTCAAATCAGTCTCCCCAGAGGCTTGAAGGTTAGAGTTTTTATGGACAGTTTGGTGGGCAGAGGGCTGGGGAACGGGTGCTGCTAATTGGTTAGGGTTAAATCCATAGGGGTGTGGAAAATGGTCTTTGTGTGCTGAATCTGCCTCTGAGTGGGGCCACAGGACTAGACCAGTTGAGTCATGAGTCTCAAAGCTGGGTTGGATCCATCTGAAAAACATCTCAAAAAAAACCACAAAATCTTAGGTTCTATGATAGTAATGCTATCTATAGGAGCAATTGGGAAAGTCTCAAATCTTGTGACTTCTAGCTACATGATTCCTGAGCAGTAAGGGAGTATAGAAACTACACCTATCTCTTAGCAGAATTCAGGTCCCTCCCATAATCCTAGTATTATGGCCTTTCATAAGTCTCACTAAGTTAGTTTTAGCCCCTGAACAGGGAGAAGAGTACTTTTAGGGAGGGACTGTTATCATCCTTGCTTCAAAGACAAACTATAAACTAAATTCCTCCCAAAGTTAGCTTGGTATATGCCCAAGAATGACCAATGACAGCTTGGAGGTCAGAAGCAAAATGAAGTCAACTATGTCAAATTTCTCTTACTGTCATAATTTTGCAAAGGAGATTTCATAGCTGTGGCCACTTGCTCAACTAAATAACTTTGGGTAAGTTACTTCACCTCCATGTGCCTCAGTTTTCTCCTCTTCAAAACCGACTTCAAAAGCAGTCAGTTTAGTGGCCTTGCAGCTAATTGGCTCAATAGTTAATGTATGTAAAACAGAGCAGTGTCTGGCACATAATCCACAGTTGGACACACATTTGTCTAAGTCAAATAATGAGATTCAGAGAATACAATTAAGTAGGGTTTATTGGAACTCAAAGCTTGAGGATGGCCACCCCAGAGCATAGATTCAAGTTGCCCTGAATTAATAGCAGTTACGAGTGGGTTTTTAAAGGAAAAAAGAAGAGGCAGTTCCTAAGTTGTCTACCAGTAATTTATATTGAAACAATTTAAGCTATTGACTGGCTATACATTCTCTGTATCACAAATTCCAGGAACATAAAGATAATGGGTAAGGCAGCTAGTCAGGAACAAAATGCCTTTAAACAATTGCCTCCAGTATGAGTGTAGGGGTGGAGGTGACTGAATTCCCATACTTATATCTCTCTAGGTCCGATAAATTTTGCATACCTCACATAGTTCAGACTGCTCTGAGCTATTTTTCTTTTCTCACACTCAATAAATAGAAGCTATTACTGTGGGAGTACATGGAAAAGGTCTCCTCAAGAAAGTTGTAAAGGGTGAGTTGGAGTTAGAAACAGTATGGTGGAAAGATTGAAACAAGAGAATGTCTGCTTTCTGGCTATACCAGAGAGGGCAAGTTTAATGAGACTGACTAGATGTAAGTATAAATGAATTATTGAGACATTTTGGCTCTTTGGTAAGGTAACACTCCGATGGTTAATTTTATGTGTCAACTGGCTGGGCCATGGGGCCCAGCTCTTTGGTCAAATACTATTCTGGATATTTCTGTGAGGGTGTGTTTGGATGTAATTTACATGTAAATCTGTGGGCTTTGAGTAAAGCAGCTGCTCTCTTATATCCTGCATATATTACCCTCCAAATTGGGCCTCATCCAATCTGCAGAAGGCCTGAAAAGAACAAAGGGCTGACCTCTCCCCAGCAAGAGGAGGAAATTCTGCAGCAGACCACCTTTGGACTCAAACTGTGATTCTTCCCTGAGTCTCCAGCCTCCCAGCCTCCCCCATCAGATTTTGGACTCACCAAACCTTCACAATCATGTGAGCCATTTCATTAAATCCGTTTATGTACCCAGCTGGTTCTGCTTCTCTGGAGAACCCTGACTAATACAAGTGCTTTGGAAGGCAGAATAATGGCTCCCTAAAGATGTCCACATTTTAACCCTGGAACATGTTGTATTACATAACAAAGGAGAATTAAGGTTGTGGCTGGTATTAAGGTTGTTTATCAGCTGACCTTAAAATAGGAAGCTGGGCCTATATTATCACGGTGGGTCCAATAATCACAAGAGTTCTTTAAAGTAGAATAGGAGGCAGAAGAGTTTAGAGTCACAAAGAGATGTGAGCAGAGATACAAACTAAGAAATGGAAGGCATGGCTGGGCGTGGTGGCTCAGGCCTATAATCCCAGCACTTTGGGAGGCTGAGGCGGGTGGATCACCTGAGGTCAGGAGTTCAAGAACAGCCTGGCCAACATATAGTGAAACACCATCTCTACTAAAAAAATGCAAAAATTAGCTGGGCATGGTGGTGCACACCTGTAGTCCCAGCTACTTGGGAAACTGAGGTAGGAGAATCACTTAAACTCGGGAGGTGGAGGTTGCGGTGAGCTGAGATTGTGCCACTCTACTCCAGCCTGGGCGACAGAGCGAGACTCCATCTCAAACAAAACAAAACAAAACAAAAAACCCCCAAAAAACAAAACAAAAAAAAAACCATAGAAATGGAAAGCAGGTGTAGTCAGTTCTCACACCCTTCCCCCCTCTCCCCTTTCCTCCGCTTCTTTCTGGTGTTGGGGCAGAAGAAATGGTAGACAAAGACCGAGATCTCCTTGTGTGATGACTCAGTTGGCCCCTCCTCTGGCTAATACTTACTTCCTATTGGATGCATCTGTGAGGCAAGCATTGTCCAAAGGCAGACCTATGTGTGGTTCTTCAGTAGAACTTATGGAAGGTCTTGCTTGAGGTCTAACCTCTTCGTCCTACTCCCTAATCCCCACCTTACATGTTCCATTCCATGACCTCTTGCTGTTGGGTTTAAGTTAACCAGCAGTGAGACATCTTAGTGGGCACTGGCAAGACTGCTCAAATGCAGCCACCTTCCTCTGGTCCACCTGCCCACAGGAAATGAATGGATTCTTCCCTTACCTCCCCGCTAACTCCCCCAATGCCCTAAAGTGGCAGTTTCAGCAGCATCAGATGATCTAGGGTTTTAGCGATGAGACAGCTTTCAGACAAGAGAGGGAATCGTCATTAGTCCTTGACTTGTGGAGTGAAGGCACAACCATTCTTTGAGAGTCATTCTCTTGGGCCTCCCTTGGATTTGGGGATAGTAACAACTCCCTTTACTCCTCTCAGAGTTAGCTTAGGGAAGGGATAGTCTATTTCTTTTCTTTTCTTCTTCTTCTTCTTTTTTTTTTTTTTTTTGAGGCAGAGTTTTGCTCTTGTTGCCCAGGCTGGAGTACAATGACGCAATCTCTGCTCACTGCAACCTCCACCTCCTGTGTTCAAGCGATTCTTCTGACTCAGCCTCCTGAGTAGCTGGGACTGCAGGTGCCTGCCACCATGCCTGGTTAATTTTTTTGTATTTTTAGTAGAGGCTGGGTTTCACCATGTTGGCCAGGCTGGTCTTGAACTCCTGACCTCAGGTGATCCACCCTCCTTGGCCTCCCAAAGTGCTGGGATTATAGGCATGAGCCACCGAGCCCGGCCGGGATAGTCTATTCCACAGACACTGCAGTTCTCTAAAATGCAAACTTTCTCTTTCCTCGGTCCTCTTATTATTAATACTTGGTTGTGGTGACAGTGGGGTTAAGGTTATATGCAGAAATGGCAATTTCTGTCAGCCCTGAGAGTAGGCAGCAAGCCCTAACAATGGGCAGTTCTCTGGGTCTCTGATCTTACAATGTGAGGTAGTTAGTTCTTTGGTGTTTTACAGTTTCCTAAAAACTGGGAAAAAATAATCTCACTGGGTATTTGACAACATTCTTTACTGTAAAGCTACAGAGGTGGGATGAGATCAGACCCCTTTGGGTCTCCCTGTTCAGTTGAGGTGGGTATGAGGGAAGCCATCTTTTTGGCCATAGAGAGGAGTTTGGTCTTTTTCTTAGGAGCAATGAAAAACTATTGAAGGATTTTAAACAAGGAAGTGATATAATCAAATGGTAGCATAATCCTAAAAATTTGTTTTCTCCCTTTATTTACTCCTTTATTCAATGATTCTGATATCCTGGTCTTTTGGTCTTCTTGCCTCAGGACTTTTGGTGGGGACAGGTGAGTGAAGGGGAAGCTGCTTCAATGACCACAGGAATGTCTAGATTTTGAAAAGCTAAGGTTGCAGGAGAAATGATACTTGACTTTGAGTAGAGGAGAAGAGCCTGTAAGGGTACTAGTGGGGGAGAGAATAATTTCCCCAAGTCTGGGAAGGACCTGTGGTCAGTGGGTTCCGACCCTGCTGAGAGTTGATGCATGGATCTGTACTGGTGGTGAATGGATGAGAGGGGCTCCAGGTGAGGTTGGCTAATTGCGGGGGCTCCTCGCCTGTTCCTGGGCACAGGAACAGCGATTCCTCAACTCTGAGGGACGGGAAGGCTGACACTGGGTGTTTCAGTAGTGAGCCCTGTTGGCTAAAGGCCAAAGAAGCTTCCACCCTGAAGCGTGTTTGTGTGACCCCAAAAAAGGAGAAGGCATGTTTATGACTGAGATTGAATTTCTCCACAGTATGTCTGACTATGGGCTCAGAATAAAATTTACGCATAGTTAAAGAAACAAGGTATTTCCTGTTTATCTGAGTTTATGGCTATAAATTCATATGGGCAATGGTCAGATATGCATTTTAGGAAGATAATTATGACTATAGTGTGGGTTGGAGGAGAGCAAGATGAGATACAGGGACTCCTAAGTAATAATCCTATGTGATCAAATTCTAATGGGACTTTTCAACTTACGTTACTCAGCACTGAAGATAAGATTATATATTTGTCAAATAATATGTGTGAATGTCTTGGTGGAATGCCTAGCACATAAAAGTCACTTAAAACAATTATTTTCTTTAATAATTATTTCAGTAATCAACAATGAATGTTCATCAGTATAACTAACAAAGTAATTACCCTAATAAATATAATGAGTAAATGTTGACCATCTACTGTATGCTGGGCACTGTGCTATGCAGTGGGACCATGATAGTGAACAAAGGCAGAAGTAGTTCCCGCTGTCATGGAGTTTATGAGGAAGTGCCACACCAAGCTTAGGAATAAGGAACCATAATATAATAAATACTATGAGCACAAAGTGTATTTCTTTTTTGTTAGACTGTGGGTTCCTTGAATGCAAGGAATATTTCTTTAATTATCTGTGTAGCAGATACTGTTTCATGGGTCAGATGCCCAGGAGTGTACAAGTAGAATTTAACTTAATTCTCTATAATGACCCAATCTCAATTTTGAGATGACATTATTCTTGGTACAGAAAACCCATTCTCATCACTTCCAGGTAAACATTTTTCCTTCAGTGATTTTTCTTATTCAAATTCAAGATGTTCTCAGTCAATTTGGGTTTTCTCTTCCCTATTCTTCTCTTTCTCTTTTGTATCTGCATGTGGAGGGGAACTTGCTGTCCCTGCTGTGTTGTCAGGTAGGACCTTTAGACTGGGATGGTCCTACTGGTCTTCCTGGCATCTTCTGGCAATGCAAGTGGTCCATTATTTGTAGTGATCAGTGACATCCCCCACTGGTACCTATTAAGGCAGCCCAGCTGAGCCCTTTGAGCTGGATTCACACAATCCATGTGGCATTTGGGCTGTGTTCCCCTTCACTGGAGTCTGTGACTTCTCACTAGTAATGTAAGATCCACACCTGCCTGCTGCTTCTCAGTATCCCACCTGCATTGTTCTTTGCTGCCAGGGGAAACATTGAGTTGCCTCATTATACCCTATCATCAACACTTGGACTTCCCAGGTAGCTTACCAAGGCCCTAGCACTCCATGTAAACATCTCTCTCCCATGCAGGGTGGCATGGGGATTGCTGTGGGGCTTTCTGTCCTTGCAAACCCCCAGAGAGAAGTGTTCTGTTTCCAGGCCTTGCTGTTGTAGGGATCTTTTCCCCTGAAGTTCTCCATTCTCTAGATTTCACCCAGGAAGCAAGGCACAGGTGTCTTGGTGCTTATTGTCATAACTAAAGAAAGTTCTATGGTGCTCCTCTTCCTCTGGGATTAAGCCAGAATGGGGCCGACCAGACACAGCCTATAAGCTGCTTTTTTCACCTATCTGAAAGTGCTGCTCACGAGTGTGAACAGACTGTGTCTGCGGAGGCGGGATGGCCTGGCTTTTCTCTACTCTCCTTCCAATCTTTTGTCATAGCAGGAACTCTGGGCCTAATATCCTTTATGGCCTAGCTTTTTAAGTTCCAGCATGCTGTATCTTGCAAATCACAAATCTTGGCTTGCAACATCGTTACCTCTCTGGTCAAGAGAAGGATCCACGTGGAGGAGGAAGACAGCATTGAAACATGGGTTGGGGACGTGGAGGAGGAAGACAGCATTGAAACATGGGTTGGGGGAACCACAGTGTGATCTTCACAGTGTAACCAGCTAACTCAGATCTTCTAGACCCAAACCATTAATAGGCCAAATGCATGCTAGACTTTATAATTACTTAAGTAACTGAAGAGATTAATAAGTCCACAAATCAATGAATTAATCAGAACCCAGTAGAATAATTGAAAATCTGGCTGCTAGTTGTCTGTCTTATTCTCAGGGTGCTGTGCAGTGGGAAGAAACAGTCTGAGTGGTCACAGTTCTTCTGGTGCTGATTAGAGCACTGCATTATATAGCCTTGGATTCTACTCAAAAGAATTCCTAGAGGAGAGAAAGCAGCCAAAGCTGATTCTAGGGAAAACATTTGGTTAATATAACCCCTAGGAAATCAGCAATCTCCTCCTACCCACAGTCTTAAAGAGTGTTTTGGGATTGTCATAAAGATAGAACAAAAGCCAAGCTACTGGGAGTTTTCTCACAGCTGCCAACCAAGCAGTGAGAAATGAGTCATTTGAGCTTGCCCTACCCTATTTGCTTTTGTCTAACAAAATTCTGACTTACTTACTGTTGATTGTTTCAATTTTTTCCCCGTATGTTTCTGAAGCATTCAGATGTGAAAGTGGAAAGTACTCTACTGGAATGAGATGCTGATGATAAAAAATTGGGGAGGAATTACAAATAGTTTAAGAGATGTTCTTAAAATGCAATTTGATCTTGATAAATGGGATACATAGGCTGAAATCAGTAAAAGGAAATTTAATAAAGTAGCTCATGTGAGGGAGGAGAAATAAAAGCATAGCATTCTACTGGGCAAAATCTATTCTCCATAAAACTGCCAAGCAAGCTTTTAGAGATTTGGCTATTAATGTAATGATTATGAATCGTGTGAGTGTGTTAAAATAACAATAGGTATATTGCTTTACATCAATAGAAATATCACAAATAAAATAATTTTAAAAGACTATTGTACCATACATGAAACAATTAAGTTGCTGCTGTAATTGAAGCAAGAAGAATAGCAGATTTCAAAAATAGCCCCCAAACAACTCGTCTTGGTAGACTGAATATTCTCTGATGCCCAGAAAAAGGTAAGAGGAAATCTCGTAATTGAGAATGGCATAACATCTCTCTACTGTCTACAGAAAATGCTGGAACTACCTTACTTGTAAAGATAGAAGAATTTTTCTCTTTAGCTTCTGTCTTTGTAGCAATACCTTTTCCTCTGCCTCAACTGTTATGTTGGAGATAGCTGTGTATTTTTATGGGAGCATTTTGTGACTGTCTTCAGGTCATTATAGAACTAATCAACTAATTTCTCCCCTATACTTCCACCCTGGCCATCAAGCCTGAGTGCAAACACCTACACTAATCATAAATGTGATTCATAAAATCCTCCTAACATTGATCTATTCATGGCTATTTTTATTTTTTTACAGTGTAGTAATCATCTATAAATCCACTTCATGAAACACAACCTGGAAACCTGCAATGATCTTCATCTGAACCCCAGGTTCCAGGATCCACTCCATCTTGTCATCACCCTGCATCTCTGACATGAGATGACCATCACCTAAAATTCCTTGTTCATCAATTCCTTTTTCTGATTTTACATAGTTTTATTGCATTTATTTAGAATCTTAAAAGTTTATTTTTGAGCATAATAAGGTATGTAATTGCTTGGGATTTACTTTTTAAATATATTTCCAAGATTGATCCACATTTCTGTGTTACTACAGTTCATCCATCTTCTGTATAATATTCCACTGCATAAATATGCCATAGTGTATTCATCTTCTCTTCTGTTGATGGATACTTGGTTTACTTCCAGGTTTTGGCTCCTGTAAACAATACTTCTATGAACATTCCGGTAGACTTATTCTACTAGAAAGTTTTTCTGGATCTTTTTTATAATCTTTCAGTCTCTAGTGTCTCTTATACTAAATTCACTTGTCCCTATCCTTGTCTCATATTCCCTTGCCACTACTGTTAGATAACTATATTCTCCTTTCCAGACTCTTCTAAGAGTGGTACATAACTGCCTCTACTGTCTCTACTTCCTCAGTTTGTATTCACTCTTCAACTCGTTATCTTCTTCCAAACTACCTTTGCTGAGATTATCAATTATTTCCATATTGCCAAATCCAATGAACGTTTTTCAGCAGTCTTATTAGAGCTGCTAACCATATTTGATGCAGTTGAGCATTCCTTTTGTCTTAGTCCATTGTGTGTTGCTGTAACAGAGTACCACAAACTGGGTAATTTATAAAGAAAATAGATTTATTTCTCATAGTTTTGAAGGCTGGGAAGTTTAATATCAAGGTGCTGGCATCTGATGAGGGCCTTCTTGCTGTCTCATCCCATGGTGGGAAGGTGGAAGGACAAGAGAGCACTGGCATGAGAGAGGGTGGAGAAGAGAGCTGAACTCCTCATTTAATTAGGAAAACACTCCCATGATAACTAACCCACTTCCACAATAATGGTATTAATCCATTCATGAGGGCAGAACCCTCATGATCTAATCACCTCTTAAAGGTCTTACCTTGCAACTCTGTTGCACTGGGGATTTAATTTCCAAACTATGTTTGGGCAATTTGAGCTCTTTCTTCTTCACTTACCACCTAATGATAAATAATGGAATTTATCAGAGGTCAGTTCTAGGTCTCTTTCTCTTTTCCCTTAATACTCTCCCATAGTTATGCCTGTTGTCTCAGCAAAATTCTTAATAGCATATCCTTTTTCTCTCAGAAGTGTCCTAGTTTTGATGGTAAATTATATATGCTCCTTACTTAGAGACCAGTGGTTTCCAGCTCATCCATGACTTATTTATCAAATCTTCTACCAATTATCTTTCCTTAGCTATTTTACAGGCACCTCAAACTCAATATTTCTAAAACTGAACTTTTGCTGTTTCTTTTAACACCCATTTCTCCCAGGTCTCCATCTCAGAAAAGGGTACCTCCACCACTTACTTGCTCAAGTGCTGAACCTTGGAGACTGTTTTTATGTGTGTGTATGTGTTTGATTTTTGCTTGCTTGTTTGCTTTTTAATTTTCTGTTTCCTAGCCCATGTGTCTCCAAAACCTGTCAATTCTAACTCCATCACTGGCACTAACTCCATTGTTCCCTTTTGCCTGGGAGCTGCAAAGGGCTCTTATCTAACTTCCTGGGCTCCACTCTTCCCCAGCTTTCTCACTTCCATCTCTTCTCCTACCCTGATATTTAAAAAATATGAATCAGATCATGTCACTACCTGCTTAAAATCTTTTGATTGTTTGCCATTGCAGTAAGAATATAATCACACTGCTTTTCCAGCCTCTGAGGCTCTCTGTGCTCCTCCCATGACTGCTGGTGTAGTCTCAGCTGGGGTCATCAGCTCTTTTTCACCCCACTCGAACTGCTCCATTCTTTCCTTGCAACTAGCTCTTCCCTGTCCTAGGGCCTTGGCACATGGAAACCTCTCCCAGACATTCCCACTTTTAACTCAGATAACACTTTTTATTCTTCACATCTCAGCTTGAATATCATTTCTGCTGGAATGTGGCATCATTGGGGGAGGGGGTGAGATTTAAAAATACTTTTATTTTGAAGGAATGCATTTTATTTCCTAAATTAGATAATGTAGGTAAGCAAAAAAAAAAATCATCCACAATCCCACCACTCAAAGAAAACAAAGTTATCACTTTGGTGTCTATTTTTCCCAGTGTTTTCTTTGTCTGCATCACATAAATATCAATTGCTTAAATGACTCCAAGTCCTATAACTGGTGGGAGTCATTCTGTTCTGGGAATTTTACATGTAATTCACCCCAGGACCTCCTTTACATTGGAAAACTTTTTATTCCTCACCATATCCCCAGGGATTCTTGGAAATTGGGCAAACAGTTTTCCTGGTCACATCTTGCTTCAATTTACTGCTTCTACCGCTGTCTTGATCTCCCTTGTGTCTAGTATCTTGTGCAGATGCAGACATGGAACACAGCTCCTAGTACTTGATCCTGAGATTCCCTTTGCCAGGAGTAGAGTCGGGGGCTGGAAAATGTTACAGAAGAACACAGCATGGCTGCAACACATCTCCATTTTCAAAATTCCTTTAGCTACTTCATCCTGAGGATGTCTTGCTATACAAGAGTGAAAGCCACCTGCTGCATCACTGGGCTGGGCAGTCTCTGTCTGTCTCTGTCTCTCTGTCTCTCTGTCTCTCTGTCTCTCTGTCTCTGTCTCTCTCTCTCTCTCTCTCTCTCTCTCTCTCTCTCTCTCTCTCTCTCTCTCTCTCTCTCTCTCTCTCTCTCTCTCTCAGCTAACGATTCTCTTCACTCAGCCCTCCTCCTGCTCCAGATCCTGTGACTGTCCTTGTCGGGAACAATTCAATGTTTGGTCTATTTTGATGGTTCTTTCCAGACCATTTTCTGGAGCGTCTCGGTTGCTACACCCAAGCCTGCTTAGGCATCTTTCCTAAACAACGGGTATTTCAGGCTAGAGAGAAACCATGCCATTCCTCTGGTGGGCAGAAATAGTTCTGACTGGCTGTTGTTTTAAATAGTTTTTACCTTCTCTTCTTGGCATATAAGAAATGCTTTTCTTCTCTTCCTAAATGGTATCCTACAATATATACTATTAGAAATCTGCTTTCTTTACTTAACAATTGATGGTGAACATCTTCTATGTCAAAACATGTACAAATTTTAGATAGTAAAGTACAGCATTTCATAGACTGTGGTGGACAATATATCCTGAAGCGTTGTTAGAAATGCACATTCTCAGGCCCTGTGCCAGGCCTAATCCATGTAATTGCTACATGTTGGTCCCCAGAACGTTCACACACACTTAAAAGTTTGAGGCACAGTGGAATACAGCATTTGCATGGCCTTAATAAGAACCAAATGCAATTATTATTACTTTCATTGGAAAACCTGTAAAGGACAATTCTGGACATTTATATGGCCATTTAATTTGTGCTTTGAAGCAACTAGCTTTTCTTGTTCAATGTGACATTGATGCCAAAATGCAAAATGCTCCTTGGGTGAACAAATGGGTGTGAAAAAATATATATGTAAAGTGCTTTCCTAAAATATGATGTCTTCAATAGCTCTCCTATACTTTGGCTAAAGTAAACCACAAAGTCTATGATTTTCACATTATATTTTTATAGAAAGTAAAAATATCAGTTTAGTAGTTTTAAAAATATACAATCATCTCTTATCTTTTCAAATATTTAGTCTAAAATTCTAAATCAGATGGTTTTAAAAGCAATTTACATATATATATTTAAGACTAAAATAACTTTTGCTTTTGACTCATTAAGAACATAATTACTTAGTATGAGCTCTTTGAAGAGGAACTGCTGTTACTCATAGAAAGGTGAAATATACTTAATGAGCTAGGCCTAGTTGAAAACTATGATATGGTTTATTTTGGAATTCCAAGTAAATACAGGAAAAATAAAATCCCACTTCTGGTCTCATATTGCAGAAGATTATAATGAAGTGAGCTGCTTTTTCCTTGAGAACAAATCAGAAATTAACTTCCCAATAATGTTACTTCTAACTTGTTTTGTTTTAGAGCTCTTAGAAACTATTAATTTCACTAGCGAGCTATATGCTGTGCAGGCATAGCCGTGTGAAAATACCAGTTTTTAAAACCCCTCGACTGAAAAGTCATTTAGCACATTTTTCTGCTCACAGTTGAAAAGTTTCAACTTCCAGCTTGCAAAATCATTAAGTGTGTGTATGCTTCCAATTAGTAGCAAGATTTTCCCGATACATGGTCCAAGGTTACACAGTGGTCTACAGAGGATTTGTGGAGACCTCTTTGTCATCTCCTTTCCTGCTGCCGTTACATGCAAAGTTTGCGGAACTTTGGCTGCTGACCAAGATGCCAAAATTTCTGAACATTAATTCATTAGGAAGTAGCAATTCCATCTGAACAAAGAGAATACAGCATTTCAGATTTGTTTCTTTGGATATAACTTTCAGGAAGTCAGAGAGTTAAAAACCAGAAAGGCTTTGTTTAACAAATGGAAGCTATTTGTTCATGTGCCAGTGGGAATTGTTTTATAATGTTCCTTTCAGAACAGAACAGAATTAAATAATGCACTCTGAAATATTTCACCAAGTAATACACTTGAAAGTTTTCATCATTTGTAAAGGAAGGAGAGAAAAACCAAAGTACAGGCTGAAAGTATTCCTTAAGTCAAGCTTTCATCTATAACATTAAAAAAGTCACTCCTAAGCAGATCACGAGGATAGAAAGAGGATATTCAAATATTACACATAGGTATTAGATAAACGTAGTCATTTTACACTTTGGCCCCAGTCTGTCAAACATACTCTTGAAAAAAAAATCCTCTTGTGTTTTTGTATTATGATATATCAATCTGTCAAGCCTCCCTACCTAGGGCTTGGTATGGAAGCTGCTCTCACATCTTTACAATATATCCAGGAGCAGTTTGTACTGCAGAAATCTAAGGAACTTCCCGTGAAATTAAACAGAAACATATCTAGAAAGACATTAGTATATTTCCAATGTTCAATCTAGAGAAAGGACATTTTGAACAAATAATAGTCAAAATTATAGTAATTACTATTTTTTCCTGCATGTGTATATCATGTAAGTCAAATGAAACATCTGTCTACTTACACTATACAAAATTTATCAAGTAAAATTCACACAGAACAGTTAATGTCGATAATTTGTGGAAATAAAGTCTTCAGGAATATTTTAATGCATGTCAAAAATTTAGAATTGGTGGGATTTGTGTTTTTGTCTAATTTGTTTGTGATTTTAAGGTATCATTTACATAAAAAAATCTGGAAGTCTGAGCTAATAGCACATGTGGATTTACATGAAGACTTTCTCATTTTTTAGAGCATAGTACTGCAAAGCACTGGCATGCATGCACCCACACACACCCACACCCACACGCAGAACACTGATGAGTATTAGCTTTGTTGGTTGGTTGGTAAATGAATTGACTGAAAGTGGAACTCATTGGAATAAGAATGTCCATATCCATGTTCAACCTACTTGCAGTGGTGGATGTAGAAGATGCTTCTTTCACATAGTCATTACAGAATCCGTTATTAAAATGGCCTCACCAATGGGAAGAGGGTCTCCCTCTCTCTAGTTCAGTCCTCCAGGTCCCTTTCACCTCAGCTGCTGCCACTGTCTTCCAATTGGTCTTTCCACTTCACTGTTGTTCCCCTCCAAACCATTCTTCGCATAACAGCCAGAGTGATATGTATCTTTTAAGGTCACTAGCATTTTTTATTGTGATAAAATATACTTAACATGGCTGGGCGCGGTGGCTCACGCCTGTAATCCCAGCAATTTGGGAGGCCAAGGCAGGCAGATCACTTGAGGTCAGGAGTTCGAGACCAGCCTGGCCAACATGGTGGAACCCCATCTCTACTAAAACTACAAAATAATTAGCTGGGCGTGGTGATGCGCACCTGCAGTCCCAGCTACTCAGGAGGCTGAGGCAGGAGAATCGCTTGAACCCAGGAGGCAGAGGTTGCAGTGAGCCGAGATCATGCCACTGCACTCCAGCCTGATGACAGAGCGAGACTCCCTCTCAAAAACAAACAAAAAACCCAAATATATATATCTATACACACACACACACACACATACACATATATATACACAAATATATATACATATACAAATATATATATATAACATAAAATGTATAATTTTAACTGTTTAAAGTGCGAGTTCAGTGCATGCATTATTGTGCACCCATCACCACCATCCACTTATCTCCAGAACTTTTTCATCTTCCCAAACTGAAACTCTGTAACCATTAAATAATGAACTCCCTATTTCCTCCCTCTCCCCAGCACCCACTGGCCATAATTCTACTTTCTCTTTCTGAATTTGACTACTCTAGTTACCTCATGTAAGTGGAATCATCCTGTATTTGTTTCTTTTGTGTCTGGCTTATTTCACTTAGTGTGATATTTTTAAAGTTCATCCTTATTGTAGCATGCATCAGAATTTCCTTGCTTTTTAAGCATGAATAATGTCCCATATATGTATATACCACATTTTGTTTATCCATCCATCTATTAATGGACATTTAGATTGTTTTCATCTTTTGGCTATTATAAATAATGATGCTGTGAACATAGGTGTTCAAATACCTGTCTGAATCCCTGCTTTCAATTATTTTCAGTGTATACTCAGAAGTAGAATCACTAAATCATATGGTAATTCTATTTTTAATATCTTGTGGAACTGCTATACTGTTTTTCACAGTAGCTACACTATTTTACATTCCCACTAACAATGCACAAAGATTCCAATTTCTCCACATCTTTGCCAACATGTGTTACTTTGTTTCAGGTTTTTTTTTTTTTTTTAATATAATAACCATGCTAATGGGTGTGTAGGGTGATCTTTTAAAAACAGAAATTAAATAATGTCTCCTGCTTAAAACTCTCCATGGCTTTTAATTACTCCTTACCATAGTCATCAGGCCTGAACATATCTAGCCCCTGCTTATTTTCCTAACCTCATCTGGTGCCTTTCCCTTGCCACTTAATATATACCCCAGCCACACTGGTGTCTGTTGACTTCCCAGGACACCCTAAACTCTTTCCCCTCTCAGGACTTGTACATTGCTCCTCCTCCTGCCAGAGCTGCCCTCACTCCGCATGAAAGGCTGCTGACCATCCTGTGGGTCTCTACCCTACCTGGGCTGCTGACCTCCTGTGGAAGGATGCCCCTCTACTTTTTTGATTCTCTCCCAGCACCTTGCTCATTTCCTTTGTAGCATCTATCACTATCTGTAGTGAGTTTCTTTCTTCACTTGTTCTCCTGCTTGCTTTCAACGGGGGAATGTAAGCTCCACGAGTTGACAGTGGCTGTCATTACTATTGCTGTCTCAGAGCCTCCAAGTGCATAATGAATGCTTATCAGTTTGGAACTGAGTCACAATGAATTCATAGTCAAATTGCATAAAGGTCAAGAAAATTTCTCACATATCTGTAACCTCTGCCTCCTACAAATATATGTTCAATTTTTCTAATTTATAAAAATAAAATCCTTCATAGACTAAATTTTTTGTCTAAAATCTTGTATCTTTTAAAATGTAATATATATGCATTTAAGAGTAAATACATAGTTTAATATTTATGTTGCTAGACTCAAAATTGCTAAAGAAATTGTAGCTAGATTGGCTTCTCTCTAACAACTGGCAATTAAAATTACTTGTATTTTTAAAAAACTGGTATAATAGATAAATTTAAAAGGTAAAAAAACCCAAATATCATATAATTTAAGCAATTTTACCTCATCAAGAAAAATATATGTAAGCTCTAACTTTTATCTGACATCACGCCTGTTTTATTCCAGTGTTCCTGAATAAATCTAAAAAACACCAAATAATTTGCCAAACAAGTTTTAAAAGTAATTTAAAGAGTAGGTGGGAGGAACATTGAGAGGTTTTAATCTTTACTTATTTTAATTCCATGTTACTCATCTTGGGTAGGAGGCTAGAAGTACCAGCTTCAAGTTATAGAGTTCATAAATTAAAAGAGTTAGTGAATTGCCTGGGATTCATTGAACAAGAAATGTTTTCTATATGGGTGATTTTAGAACTATCCCTTTGCACATTTATATGCTGGTATGTAGATGTGTGCCCACTTTATTCATCCTGCTTGGTGTTTTATGAGAAACTTCTCCCTTCTCACCTCCACTGTACCTATTCTCTTCTTCTATGACTTCTTTTGACAGACGGTCTAGCATCTGTTGTTTTACTTTTTTTCTCACATTTTCTTTTTGTTTTTTTAGTCATATATGTTTTTTGTAAAAGATGCCTTTTACTGTTTCTAACTCAGTGTTTCTCAAACTGTATTGTGCATTTGAATCATCTTGGAGACATGTTACAAAATAAATTGCTGGGCTCTGACTCAGCAGTTCTAGAGTGGGGTCCAAGAAATTGCATTTGTGACAAATTATCTGGTGATTCTGAGGCTAATGGGATGGGGCCGACAATTTGAGAGACATGCCTCTATATCCTTGCTACTCAAAGCATGTCTGAGGATCAGTATCACATGTCTAACAAGCTCCCAGGTGATGTGGAAGCTACTACATACTTTGAGTGGCAAGAATCTAAAACAGTGGTTCTCAAATTCTGAATCTTTGATGAACAGCATCAGAATCACCTGAGAGCATGTTAGAAATGCATTTTCTCAGGCCCCATTTGAGATGTATGAAATCAGAATTTGCATTTTAACAAGACCCCCGGGACTAGTACACACCCTGAAGCTGAGAAGCCTCATTCTAGATCACCTGGTCTTTACTGTGCCGATTTTATTGTACAGTCCGGCCATTCTATTTTTATTTCAGGTAAGATTTTAAATTTTATGTACTCTTTAAAAATGTTTGATTACTCATTTTCATCACAGTCTAATCTGCTTATGGATGCAATATCTTCTCAAAACATCCTGAGGCTACTCCTTATACATTTGGGCTTTTTTCCATTTTCCTCGTTATTTCTGTTCCTTCCAGTTTTCCTTATGCTGCTTATTAATCTTCTTCCTTGTATTTGTCGCTGTCCTGTGGTAAAAAGTGATCCCAGAAACCACCATGGCTCATAAGAACAAAGGTGTATTTCTTGTTTATTGTTTAGGTTGGCTGAAAGTCAGTACCAGTTCCACTCCTGCTCCCTGTATCTTTTCATCCCAAGAGGCTAAATAAGGGGGCTTAAAATGGGCTATGCCTTTCTTGAGGAAGAAGGAAAAGAGCAGGAGGACTGATAGAAACACACAAAGGCTCTTAAAAGTTTTGCTGATTCATACCTGTTACCCCAACACTTTGGGAGACTAAGGCAGGCAGATTGCTTGAGTCCAGGAGTTTTGTACCAGCCAGGGCAACATGGCAAAACCCTGTCTCTACAAAACATACAAAAAATTACTTGGGTATGGTAGTGTGTGCCTGTAGTCCCAGCTACTCAGGAGGCTGAGGAGGGAGGATCACCTGAGCCTGGGAGGTAGAAGCTGCAGTGAGCTGTGATGTGCCACTGCACTCCAGCCTGGGTGACAGAGTGAGACTCTGTCTCAAAAAAAAAAAAAAAAATAGTTTTGCTTGGATACGGGGTCCGTCATATCTGCTCACATGCTATTGCCAAAGCAAGTCTTAAGGTAAATCCAATATCAAGAGGATAGGAAGTACGCTTCTTCCACAGGAGGCTCCATAACTTACAGATAGAAGAATAGACAATCAATAGAGTTATATAATCCCATCAGAAGAAGGGGAAGTAAAAAATTGCAAACAATAATACAATTTGCTTCCTGTTCTTTTATGATGTTGGTTTTCTTCAAAAACCTGATATGTATACATATACATACATACATATACATATGTGTATATGTATATATGTATGTATCAGTGATAGATATTATACTATGTAATGAAGCATATATACAGGCAGGGCATGGTAGCTCACAGCTGAAATCCCAGCACTTTGGGAGACCGAGGTGGGAGGATCGCTTAAGCGCAGAAGTCTGAGACTAGCCTGGGCAACATAGTCAGACCTCATCTCTACAAAAAAAAAAAAGTTTGCTGGGCATGGTGTTGTGCACCTGTGGTCCCAGCTACTTGGGATGCTGAGGCAGGAGGATCACTTGAGCCCAGGAGTTTGAGGCTGCAGTGTGCTGTGATAACACCACTGCATTCCAGGCTAGGTGACAGAAAGAGACCCTATCTCAGATAAATAAACATCAGCCCATACTGTTCATGTATAAATGTAACCAACTTATGTTGGTTTGTATAGGCAGTTGGCATGGATTTCCTCTGAAACTGCAGGTCTGTTTTCCCTGCAGACTTCTTCCTAGAATGGGAGGGTGGTAGCTATTGCCATGAAAATTTGGTGTGTATTCTGATCATCGGGGTTTTTCTATGCTGCCTGTCTGAGAAGCAGGCAGGTGACACTTGCCAACAACTCCTGGAGTGGTTTATGCTCCTTATTCCGGCAGGCACTTCTCACTGAATTAGGAGTGGGCATATGGGAGGGAGAGTAGGAGGAGAACAGAACATTCTCAGATCAAAGAATATTGGTCTAACGGCTTCTAAAATGTGATGAAACTTTGTTGTGATCGCACTCTACCACGGGGATCTTGGTGAGGGTGTTAATGGTAGAGAGCCTTTCAGCCCAGGCTGGAGGCTTGGAGATTTTCCCAGCACAGTGGGAAGGCACTGGAGGGTTCTAACCAGGGGAGTCATGTGATCTGATGTATAAATCATTTCATTTTGGAAATGATGAAATATTTGATGGAAAAGAATATTTGTTATTTTAATATAGCAAGATGAAGAATATTAATGAAATGAACACTCACAGGATATTCCAAACCAATTTAAGTAATATTTTATCAGCCAGGGTCCAATCAGCTGACTGAAGCCATACTAGTTATTTGAACAAAGTGAATTTAATATAAAGAATTGCTAAGTACTTCTGCAGTTGTTAACTAGGTAGGGGGAGGGTGAAGGGAAAGCACTAGAGGTGTCATAGAGGTCGCAACTGCAGGGAGCAGCTACCACTCTGGGAGCTAGGAGAACAAAGGGAAGATGCTAGAATTACTAAAACTTGGAAGCTTAGGGGAGGAGCCCACAGAGATAAAATCTAGGTCTCTGAGGAGGGTGCACTGCTTGGCTAGTGATGTTACCAGAACCTTAAATTTCCCTGAGAACCTCCCCTGAATGTTACTTCCTAGCCCACAGAATTAACCACTGTCCTGACTTTATCCCTGTCCATTTCTTTAGAGTTTTACCACATAATTATTTCCATGCATTTCTTTAGAATTTACCACATGCACATGTATGTATCCAGCATTATATTATTAAGCACTCCCTGTTTTTAACGATTAAGAATAGTATCTTCTAAATGTTTTCTTCTAAGAGTTCTATAGTTTTAGCTTTTCTTTCAGGTGCATGATCCATTTCCAGTTAATTGCTTTCACTCTTGGGTGAGGTGAGTGATGAGGTTCATTTTTTCCCCCATACCGAGACCCCAGCCTTGGCAGTCTCAGCGCAGACACTCAGAATTGGACAACTGTCAGCAACCGCAGGAGACGGGTGCCCCTTGCCGGACAGCAGTGGGGAGGACCAGGAAGCCCACAGCAGCCCCACACAGCTCCTAATCCTGATTGGACACTGTGTATCCTAGTGTAGGCATAAGTTTCCTAACATTTTTTCATAGGCATTTCTGTTTGGTGGTTTGTGACAGTTAATTTTATGTGTCAACTTGGCTATGCCATGGTAGCCAGATATTTGGTCAAAAACTATTTTAGATGTTACTGTGAATGCACTTTTAAGATGAGATGAACATTTAAATCAGTAGACTTGGAGAAGAGCAGATCACCCTCTATAACATAGGTGGGCCTCATCCAATCAATTAGAGGCCTTGAGACAAAGAAAGACAGACCTCCCTGAGGAAGAGGGAATTTGGCCAGCAGGCTGCTTTCAGACTCAAGTTGCAACCACAGCTCTTCTCTGGGTCTTTAGCCTACTCACCCACCCTCCAGATTTTGGACTTGCCAGCTTCCATAATCATGTGAGCCAAGTCCTTCCCATAACTGCTCTGTATCTGTACACATCCTATTGATTCTATTTCTTTGGAGAGTCTCACTAATACATGGTCTTTTTATTGGATTTTTGGAAATAGGACAACTTAATCTGCAAGGCTGTACTGAAATCTCTCTGTCAGCACTTCAATGCATGGATTGAGACTTTTGTTTGGTTCCGCATAGACAGTTGTGTCTAACTGGATGTGCAGAGGGGACAGTGGAACACTCTGCTGAGCACTTGGTCCAGGTTTCTGTGACCAAGAACAAAGAGGAGATGGATATTGGGGAGGCAACCAGTAGGCTACCATGGATGGAAAATGGCCCGCCGGGCTGGCCTTTTCCTTCTCTGAACTTAATTCTTTATCCAAAACAGGTCCAAGCAGTAGGTGCACTTCTATGTGTGGTGAGACAAAGTCTTTTCAAGGTTTAGTATGTTTCTACAGTGGACCAGGCTCTAGAGGGCATATGTGGAAGCTGAATGGAGTAATTTTTGCTACTAGAGGAAACATCTGTTCTCTCCCCCAATCTTCCCGACCCCTTGCCTTTTCTCTCTATGGACACACATTGCATTAGTTCCTTGGCTTCAGAGGCATTTGTTCCATTTCTATGTGTGGGGTGGAGGAAAGGACAGGTCCTGGGTAGGATTCAGGGATCCCCCCTGGCCAGGAGGCTGGCAGTCACGCTGAGCTCTGCTGCCCTGGGATCCATAAGAATAAAAGAAATGTCCTCTGATATTCATAAAATTTCCTCCATTTGTTTATTTAGAAGCCAAACATCCACAATTTATTATGTGAGGGTTGATCCCTGGACATAAAAGAATGATAGGATATGTTAAGTCCATGCTCTAAGACCTGACCAACAAGGCTGTGGCCCAGAGAATGCATGACACTCATTATATGCTTTGGAGGACAAAGTCTGAGCCACTTTTGTGGTCTGAATTCCGGACAATCAGTGGTTGAAGCCGAAGAGCAGAGACAATTAAGTCATCCTGTGGCTTAGTATTATGACAACTTGACAATCATTTAAAACCCTAAGCCCTGACTTTTTAAGTGCTCTCTAGAGTTAGAAAGTAAAAACAAAAAATTAGGACACTTTCACAGCTGAGAAAAAAGTAATTTAAAGCATACAATCAGGTAAATATTTACTTTTTGATATTGCAGAACTGGAAAATGCATTCTCCAAGGATGTTGTCCAAATTAATCCTCCTCTTAGAGTTAATACCCTGAAAGGAAGAGACGTTTGTCCAGAGCTGATTCAGATCCCCAATGTTTGTCCTCTGATGTGTATAATAAAATGACTTCCAAACTCCAAAGGAAGATGAGGAAGGCCCAATGTGTGCTTCAGATTAACTTGATAATATACTTGATTTACAAATGATCACATCAAATCACTAGAATTTTCTAAAATATCCTTTTATGCTGTAACTCATTTCTTTTCCAAGGGTGTTGTTAGAGAAGGTGCATTTGCAATATTTTAACAATTTAACTGAGGCCAACTTTATAAAACAGTCACATAAAGATATAAAATAATGTTTAGGCAGATTATAATATTTAGCAACACAGGAAAATAAGGCTCACCCTTAATGATATTCAAAAACAGACATTCCAAGGAGAAAAACTTATGTTTTCTTTTTTTTCCATAAGTTTATAAGACATTGCAAGAAAAAAATGATTAATTCCATCTTCTTTTTTTTTTTTTTTTTTTTTTTGAGACAGAGTCTTGCTCTGTCACCCAGGCTGGAGTGCAGTGGCGCAATCTTGGCTCACTGCAAGCTCCACCTCCCGGTTCACGCCATTCTCCTGCCTCAGCCTCCCGAGTAGCTGGGACTACAGGCACCCGCCACCATGCCCAGCTAATTTTTTGTATTTTTTAGTAGAGACGGGGTTTCACCGTGTTAGCCAGGATGGTCTCGATTTCCTGATCTCGTGATCTGCCTGCCTTGGCCTCCCAAAGTGCTGGGATTACAGGCGTGAGCCACTGCCCCTGGCCCTTCTTCTTATTTTTTAATGAACCAGACACCAGCTAGGTGCAGGCTCAAGGCATTTTACCTGCACTGTTTAAGATAAAAGTCTTAAAAGCCCCAGTGGGCTAGGTAGGTTTCTCATTCATTTTGGTAACATTTGGGAAGAGAGGAGGCTCCACCTGCATGAGATGCGGCCAGGGAAAGACTCCTCAGGGAGATCAAAGGAAACACATAGTTGATCAAAGGAAACAAGTAGCTGATTTCTTCTTGCAAAGATAAAAGTGGCTTTTAGACTAAGATTATGAGTATTGGGATATTTTGAACTATAGGAATACCACTGAGTCCTGGAAACCTGGAATCAGGACATACCAGATAAAATAGATAATGATATTAAGAAAAATATAGTTTTTCCTTCTATTTTCCCCTTCCTGTCTCTTTCTCTTTCCCCTCCCTCCTTTTCTTCCCTCCCTTCTCTCTCTTTCTCTCTCTCTCTACCTCTCTTCTTATGGTTTGCAGCCACAATAAAAAGTAAAATGAAACCTATTCATTTTAAATAACAAATTTATTTAACCCAATATACCCCAAATGTTATGTTAATTGGGATCAATATAAACATTATGAATGAGACATATTACAGTATTTTTGTTTTTTTGGCACTAAGTTTTTAAATTGGTGTGTGTTTTGCACTTACAGCACATTTCAATTTGGAAAAGACACATTTCAAGTGCTTAGCAGCTGCATGTGGCTTGTGGCCACTGTATTGGACAGTAAAGCTCTGAGGAAAGGAAAGAGTGGCATTAGCAAATATGTGTTTGATTCTAGTTTTGGGAGAAGTATTTTCAAGGCTGTGATAAGAAATATTGTTATGTGCCAGTTTATAAATGCCTTGATCTTGATTGCACATTTAGATATTTAATGATCTCAACCCTACATGGCAATGATGTATCAAACAAAATTTTCCTCAGGAGCCCACAAATGAGTTTGCCAGGCAGAATATTCCCAAAGTCTGTTGAAGGCTATGGGCCGACACAGGAACAACATGACCCTCCATGGGGTTTAGCAGCCTGGAGCACGCTCATGGGGCCCATTCTGATCATTGTGATAAAGTGAGACAGACATCAAGGGGCTCCAAGGGAATATTTACTAGAAATAACTGGCTAGGAAAAACCTTAAAAGACACAAAACAATGTAAAGATGGTAGGTAAGGTTAAGAAAAAAAAATACTGACACGTTAATGTGAGGAAATAGAGAAGATTTATATGGGATATAACTGTAGATGGCAAGTGAAGTTTGGGGGAAATTTTTCTTTTTCTTTTCTTTTCTTCTCTCTCTCTCTCTCTTTTTCTTTCTTTCTTTTTCTTTTTTCTTTTTTAATACAGAATCTTGCTCTGTAGCCAGGCTGGAACGCACTGGCTCCATCATGGCCCGCTGCTGCCTTGTCTTTCTTCCTGGGCTCAAGTGATCCTCCCAGCTCAGCCTCCTGAATAGTTGGGACCACAGGCATGTGCCACCACACTCGGCTAACCGAAAGGTTTTGTAGAGATGAGGGTCTCTCTGTGTTACCCAGGCTGGACTTGAACTCCTGGACTCAAGCAATCCTCCCACCTTGGCCTTCCAAAGCTCTGGAATTATAGGTATGAGCCACCGTGCCTGGGCTGATTTTGCTTTTTAATTACATGTGTCCATACCGGGTGCGATGGCTCACACCTGTAATCCCAGCACTTTAGGAGGCTGAGGTGGGAGGATTGCTTGAGCTTCAGGAGTTCGAAACCAGCCTGGGCAATATGATGAGACCCCGGTCTCGGTAAAAAATACCAAATTTAGCCGAGCATGGTGGCCCATGCTTGCAGTTATAGCTACTTGGGAGGCTAAGGTGGAAGAATCGCTTGAGCCCAGGAGATGAGGCTGCAGTGAGCAGAGATCACACCACTGCACTCCAGTCTGGGCAACAGAGTGAGACCTGTCTCAAAATAAATAAATTTTTAAAAAGTAGTAAATGAATTAAATGTGTCCAATTTGGGGCCAAGAAGACATGCAAATTCCCATTTTTAAATTTCCTTCATTTTCAATAATTCTATATGTTACTAGGTTTTGCTGGGTGGTAGACATAAGAATGTGGGATTTAGGGTGTGACCTGACTGCCCGGTTGCATGATACCCTCCTCGGTCTCTCCCTGTAGAGCAGCCGGCATGGATTTATGAGGACACGGATCAGATTAATTTGTTCAAAAGCAAACAAACAGAAACATTTAGAAGAAACAGATGCTGTACTCAGGGCACTCAGCGCTACAGAGGAGTCTACAAGAACTCATAGGATCAGGCCCTGCCAGGCTTTTCTGTCTCATCCTGTCCAACTTCTGCCATTCACCACCTCCAGCCTCTGGGTCCACAAACACTCTGTACTTACTCCCACTTCAGGACCTTTGTATGTGCTTGTGGCAGGCTGATTAAGAGGGCTGACCTGGGAGCTGGACAAGCTGGGCTCTGCTGTTATGGGAATGCAAGAAAACCCTCTGTGCCTCCGTTTCCTCATTTGTAGCGTGGTGATAGTGACAGCGCCCCTGCCTCCTAGGATTGTAATGAAGAGTAAATGAATTAATGTGTGTGAGCACTTAAAACAGTGCCTTGCATTGAAAAGTAAAAAAAAATATAGCTGAGTAAATTATGTCAGATTACAAAAAAAAGTGAAAAAAGTAAGTTTCTTGCAAACTCCTGTAGCCATAAAATGTGACCTGTACTGATGAGGCCATTGGCGTGTTTCATCCCACTTCATGTGATAAATACATGTTTTCTGTGGCAGTATTTATAAGACTGATCATGAGTTGCTGTCCCAGATCCTGCTGTGGGTGTCATATACAACCTGGTATGTTGTATATGAACACAACCTGTGTTCTGTGTCTAAAATCCCAAAATTCCAATTCTGAAACTCACCTTTCCCTAGGGGTTGTGTATAAGGGACGGTGGACGTGTTTACCACTGTTCAAGATTCAGCTGACCATTCCCCTGTTTAGAGAGGCCTTCTGACTGTCCTACCTGGCTGGCTTTCTCTCTGCTGTGCCTTCTCTTCCATGATCCTGTTTGCTTTTCCTCATCGGACTTCTTATTATCTGCAATTACCTTACTTGTTTCATGGCTTTAATGGCTACTTTCTCCTAACAGGTCCAAAAGTCATACTTCCAGCACGAACCTCTCCCCTGAACTCCAGATCAAATTTACAAACAACCCCCTCACGTCTCCACTGGGATGCCCGAAAGTGGAACTTCTGTTCCCTCTAACCTGCCCCTCCCAGGCTTTCTCTGTCAAGGTTACTGGAAGCTCCAGCCTCTCTGCTGTGTCAGCCAGAATCATTGGAGTCTTCCTTGTCTGCACCCTCTCTCTCCTACCCCACATGCATTTTCCCGGAATCCCATTGGTTTTGCCCTCATAGTCTATCTGAGGCCTGTCTGCCTCTCGGCCTTCTGCCGTTTTTAGACTGGTGCACCTCATCAGAGCCTTTTGCCCGGGTTCCTGCCATGGCCTCATAACCTTCCTGCCCCCCTTTCGGTGCAGGATCAGTCTGTCCTCCAGGCTGGTCATCTGAGGGCCTGCCACCTCCCTCACAGCTCAGTCACAGGCCCGTCCCAGTGTGGCTTCCCTGGCAGCCGCCTTTACTCCCTGACCCCTTGCCCTACGCAGCCTGTCCTCTCCAGATTCACTGCCTCCATGCTGTCCTCCAGTCTTGCTGCCTCTCTCTCTGTCTAGAGTGTGCTTCCCTCTGGGCTTCCTCCCTAGTGTTTCAATGTTCATCCCCTACTCAGAGGGTCTTGCCTGATCACTCTGTTAAAGTTGCAAATTTCCATTGCCTTCACGATTCCTAGACCCCCCCTGCCACTCAGTCTCCTCATCACAGGCCACACTTTTTAACTACTCTCGTGGACGCAGTCCATGCCCCTTCCTGGATTCGCTGGGCAGTGCTTCTCTGCTCAATGATGCTCCGGGAAGATCACCCAGCAGCCACCACATTCTGGTGGGCATAGAGGGGAGGGCTTGCCCTTGCCTGAAAGTAGGCTTCTTGAGCTCTGTCACCATCCTGGTGGGGCGGCAACGTGGCGTCCCTGCCTTGGGCAGGTGGGCCCTCTGCGAGAGCCACTTCCAATCCCCCATTCCATGTTCAGGCCCAGCTGGACTGAGCACTGCTTTTAAGGAAGCTATAGCCAGTTTGACAACTCTTTCTGTGCCTCATCTTTTCTCTTTCCTGCTTCTCTGGAATTTTACTCTCAAAGAAGTTTTAGCCATAAGCTGTTGCCTCAGGTTCTATCTTCTAGGGAAACTCCCCAAAGTGTAAATCTCATACTATGTACTTGGCTTCTCAACTTTATCATCTATCTCCCCTCCTAGTATATAAGCCCAGTAGGGCAGGGTGTGTGTGTGTGTGTGTGTGTGTGTGTGTATTTCATTTAGGGCTGTATCCTCAGGGCTTAGAGCAGTGTCTGGCACATTGAAAGTTATCAATACATGCCAGTTACATGGATGGGTGGTTATCAGAATGTTATCTGTCTCTCCCACTGGAACTTAACTTCCATAAGGGCAGGATTGCTGCTATCTTTCTCCATATTGTTTCCCCAGCGACCACAATAGTTTAAAAAAAAATTTAAAAAGTCTTATCTCATGACAGATTAACACCACAGTAGTTTGTGGGACATGCTGGCTCTCAATATTTAAAACTAATACTTAACAGAGGTGGGAGAAAGCAATACATAAAGATAATGTTGTTGAGGGAAGCATAGACATTGGAAACCAGGGAAATAGCCATGGAAGTTTCTGGAAAGGTCCAGGGACCAGGACAACTTAATCAGAAGGATCCAGTCAAGGTCATCCCACTTGAAAAGTAGCAGCTTCACTGGAAGTGTCATGGCATCTTTGGCATGTTATTACATAAACAGTTCAATACTGAATTTTAATAATCTTTGGAAAAGAACAAAATGTAGCCCCCTGTGGCCCATGCCCCTTCCAGTGCATTGGCCCAGTGTGGCTTTTCCAGGCATCCCACCCAAGGGGCTGGACATCTCTCCTCCATGACCTTGGAAGGCCTGTATCTTACAGGAACACATGTCCCTAAGAGCACTACATGGATCTAGCCCCATTGCTGCAGGTAATTTGATTGCCCCTCGGTGTTTAGTTTGAGTTAGTTTTATATGAAGGTTTCCTTCTCTCCCCCTTTTCCATTTATTCCAGTCAATAATACTTTCTTTAAAATAGAGAACCTGTATGCCAGGTACCGTTAGGATTTGGTGATATCTATCAATCAACGGCACCAATAGAAAACAGAGGGTACCCTCAAACTGAGATGATTCCGAGAGAGTTTGCACAGCAGGGGCTGTTCACACTGTGCGAGTGTGGGGGAGCGACAAAGACTCGTGCAGTCGCTGGAGCCAGTAGTTGGTGCTCCCCTGACAGCTGCAGAGCCCAGGGCAAGAGTACAGATGGAGGCCCATGTGCTCCGAGTCAGAATATTTCAAAGTTATAACTCAAGCAACCACATTGTTGAATAAAATCTGTTCTGTTCTCTACCTCAACAAATGGGGCACTTATGTAATGACTTTGAAGGCCAGGTCTGCACATAGAATTATCACATTCTCTAAGTTACAGACCATACCACCAGAACATGGAGGTGAGGGATAGACATGTTGCCCTCAGTTCTGCAAACACCTTTACAAGCTCATGGCCAGACACCCTAGGCCATGTGTCCAAACTCCACTCACAGTTCCACAAATAACTGCCCCACTGGCCCTTGGGTCTGGGGTCACAGTTCCCACCCACCCTGAGACGGAACTGAGGATTGGACTTGAACAGACCCTGGAAGCTGGCTTGGGTCTATCTGAATGGGAAACCTGAGTTCTGAGTACACAGTGTGTTCTACAAGTGGAGAGCTCAGTAAAGATTGGTCAGGACCCATGTGCCTGTGTCGGAGGACCACAGCGATAGTACCAGCAGTGCTAGTAGTACCAACTTTCCTTGCTAGGAATGGAGGGAGGAGGCAGGGCTGTAGACTGCTGCCTTTGAGCAGGGGTGATCTTCTTTCTAGAGGCAGTGTCATCTGCAGGTAACCTTGCAGCAAGGGAGCAAAGGGTCATAACCTCCCTGTGATACCAAAACTTCCTATTGGCTACACCCAGCCAGAATCCAGAGGGCTTGAGGGTTCTCATGATGGGGCTCTCCAGGCCAGAAAGCAGGCAGAGATGTCAGCGGAGTGAATCTGGGGGTGCAAAGTAAAGATACCAAGCACAGGATGCATCTGTGAAAAATACAGCCCTGGGTCCTGGACCTCACCCACAGTCAATGCTTTACCAATGCCAGTAAAAAAGAGTTTGGCAGTGCCCATGGCCTTAATGTTGTCTGGGCCTCAGGGAAAGTTCAAGGGGAGCCTGGAATCTGCTTGCCCTTTGACTTTCAGGATTTTTAAGAGTTGAGCACTTGAAGCTACTGGGAGGAGAGGAGAGGCACAAAGGTAATTAGCTACAGTGTTAATGGATGTTGTCACTTGCATGAGTCCTTGAAATAGTTGTATATAGGACATTGTTTAAAATTACTGTATGACTTTTCATTATTTGTATGAGCACATTGCTAATTAACACAAGTAATCATCCATACAAATGGATATTTATTGTACACCTGTTTTGTGCAAGGCACTGTGCTAAGTCTGGTGGGGATGTTCTGTGCCCCAGGAGCTTAGAGTCTAGATTTGGCTTCCAGCTCTCTGATCCTTCCATTCTCTGAGATTCTCCCCATTTCCCTTCCCAGCCACCCCATCTTCTTAATTCCTCTGGGATCTAAGAAAAAATGAAATAGAACAGGAGATGGAACTAAAGAAAACTTCTCTGGGTAAGGTGGGCCAGCAGAGAGAGAATAGAAAGGAGATTTTTAAAAGGGGCAGGGTGGCCGGGTGCAGTGGCTCGTGCCCGTAATCCCAACACTTTGGGGGGCTTAGGTGGGGAATCACTGTAGCCCAGGAGTTTGAGACCAGCCTGGCTAACATGGCAAGACCCCATCTCTACAAATAAACCAAAAAAACAAAAATTAGCTGGGTGTGGTGGTGGGTGCCTTTAGTCCCAGCTACTCGGGGCTGAGGCAGGAGGATCCCTTGAGCCCAGGAGGTCAAGGGTGCAGTGAGCTGTGATCACACCACTGCACTCCAGCCTGGCAACAGAGCAAGACCGTGTCTCAATCAGTCAATCAATCAATGAATAAAAATAAATAAATAAAAAGGAAGGGAGCAAAGTGTCTCACAATGTAGTACCCAGGGAAGCAGATGGAGCTCTGGAAGGAGGAGGAGAGAGGTGATGAAGAAGACCATGAATTAGTGAAAAAAAAAAAAAAAAGAAAGAAAGAAAAAAAACATGTAGTAGGAAAGGAAGGTCTCACCTTTTGAGCATGCATTCATTTTTTTAAGTACCCATACACTGAATATCCTTGTCCTGGTTCACTGAAAAACATTGTTACTGAGCTCCTGCTGTATATACTGGAGGTCTCCAGTGTGCACAGATGCATCTCCCACAGATGCATACTACCTAGTCTCTCTGTAAGATTATTTTGATGGTCCCTGGAAGCAGTCTTGTTTTTTCAGGACTAAGGTGAAAGTAACTTAAAATTTGCATTAATCAAAATTAATGAAAGGAAATCCATGATGAACAAAATATCAACAATTTATATAAAGGCAATATCAATATCCTAGGGCTGAAACAACAGATCATTTATGTTCCTATCAATAGTGAAACTCATATAGATTTCTTATAATTAAAACAAAAGGAAGGGTATAGGGAAAGACACCAGCCAAGGCAGTCTTAACTATTCACAGTCTGCTCAGTTGTGCAGGCTCAGTTGAAACAGCTGGTCTAGGGTCTGTGGCCGCTTTAGGGATAATTCTGAGGTGGGTTCGTGCTGCCATCTAGTGGTCATATTGCATTATACGCCGTCTTCACTTCTGGAGGCTCTCTTGGGGGAAAACGTGATAAACCTGAAAAGATCCAGGTCAAGGAGGTAGACGAATGTGAGAAATTTTCCGGATTGACAGGTTTTTGGATGTAACCAATTATTTGATATTCTGGTTTTTTTTGTTCTCTTAAAATACGAATTGGAATCCTCTTATGTTTGAGGAGCTGTGCTAGATGCTGGATATGGTCTGGTGAATATGCATGACCATGTCTTTGTCCTGGGAGAGCTCCTTGAAAGAGTCCAATTCACCCACCAGCCCATTTCATTAAAAACAAAGAACCCTGGAGAGAGTTGGAGAAAGTAAGTGATTGGTTTAAAGTCACATAATTAGTTAATTGGGGAGTCAGCCTTAGAATCCAGCTGTGTAAGCTTTTCATTCTATACTGTTGTCTTCTCACCTTAACAGAAACTTGTCTTTAAGATGTTGAGCCAAGCATTTAAAAGTTACTCCTCCAAATCCTTCCTGAGAGGAGTAGTTGTAGCATATTTCAGATACAGCTGCATTTCTGCTATTAACTCTCTAGTTTAAGTTATAGCAAGCAGTGCTGCTAAGAAACTTACTGCATAAGTACGTAAGAGTCAAAGTGATACAAAATTGACAAGAGTCATCTTTGTTAAATGTAATTTACTTAACACTAGAAAAAGGGAAGTGATAACTTACCCTTCGTCCTTGTGCCAGCAAGGGTATCTTTTTTTTTTTTTTTTTAATAACTGAGCTGCTTCCCATTCCAAATTTCATTAAGACCCTGGCTTCAAGGGATCATCAATGATCCCTTCTCCTACTAATCTCTTGAAAGTAGCTTCATTTTTCTAGGTGCAGGGCACTATATGTTCACCAGCAATACTTCTTATATTGAGTTTTTTTTTGGTGGGGGGGGACAGGGTCTTGTCTGTCACCCAGGCTAGAGTTCAGTGGCGTGATCTTGGCTCACTGCAACTTTCACTTCCCAGGTTCAAGCAATCCTCCCACCCCAGCCTTCTGAGTAGGTGGAACTACGTGTGGTCCACCACTATGCTTAGCTGTTTTTTTTTTTTTTTTTTTGAGATGGAGTTTTGCTCTTGTTGCCCAGGCTGGAGCGCAATGGCCCGATCTCGGCTCACCACAACCTCCGCCTCACAGATTCAAGCGATTCTCCTGCCTCAGCCTCCCAAGTAGCTGGAATTACAGGCATGCGCCACCATGCCCGGCTATTTTTTTGTATTTTTAGTAGAGACGGGGTTTCTCCACGTTGGCCAGGCTGGTCTCGAACTCCTGACCTCAGGTGATTAGCCCGCCTCGGCCCCAAAAGTTCTGGGATTACAGGCGTGAGCCATCGCGCCCAGCCTGCTCAGCTGATTTTTAAAATTTTTTGTAGAGACGAGGTCTGACTATATTGCCCAGGCTATGTTGATGCTACTTGTTCAAGATAAAATAATAAAATCTAACAAGGCGAGATAAAAAATTTTGATTAAGTGCTAAGTGGCATACATATTTAATATATACTGTATTTAATTTTTATTATAAAAGCTTTCAAACATACACAAATATAAAGTTTGCAGTGAACCCCAATGTATCCATCACCCAACTTGCCGACATTGGCATCACTCATTTAGCAAGATTCTGCTGTATTGTTTTTTCTATCCTGTTTTTCTTCCTTTTTTTCTGAAGAATTTAAACAAATCACAGACACTTTACCCTTATTACACTTTACTCTTAAATAAAAAATTAAAATTCCTCAAAAATATGGTTCTTTGTTTATATATAGACAGTCATATGCTGTATAATGAGGTTTTGGTCAACAGTAGAGTGAATATATGATGGCAGTCTTGCACAATTATTATGGAGCTGAGAAATTCCTATCAGCCGACTTGTTACTGCCATTGTAGCATCATAACTCAATGCATTACTCTTGTGTCTGTGGTGATTCTGGTGCAAACAAACCTACTATGCTGACAGTCATATAAAAATCTAGCACATACAATCGTGTATAGTAAATAGTCCTTGATAATGAAAATAAATGACTATGTTACCGGCTTATGTATTTACTATACTTTCGATCATTATTTTGTAGTGTACTCCTTCTACTAATATAAAAAAATTAACTGTAAAACAGCATCAGGTGTGTCCTTCAGGGGGTATTCCAAAAGAAGGCATTGTTATCACAGATGACAGTTCTTGCATGTTATTGCCCCTGAAGACCTTCCAGTGGGAGAAGATATGGAGGGGAAAGACAGTGATGTTGATGATCCTGACCCTCTGTAGGCCTAGGCTAATGTGTGTTTGAGTCTTAGTTTTTGATAAAAAATTTTGAAAAGTTAAAAGAATTAAAAATAGAAATGAGCTCATAAAATAAAAATAAAGAGAGAAAATATTTTTGTACACTTAGACAATTCATTTGTATTTCAGGCTAAGTATTATTATAACAGTCAGAAAATTTTAAAAATTAAAAGGTTTGTCAAGTAAAAATGTTACAGTAAGCTAAGGGTAATTTATTATTGAAGAAAGAAAACAATTTTAAAATAGATTTAGGGTAACCTAAGTGTACAGTGTTTATAAAGTCTACAGTAGGGTACAGTGATGTCCAAGGGCCTCACATTCACTCATCATTTACTCACTGACTCACCCAGAGTAACTTCCAACCTGCAAGCTTTATTTATGGTAAGCAACCTATACAGGCACACCATGTTTTATCTCTTATACAGTATTTTTACTGTACCTTTTCTATGGTTAGCTATGTTTAGATACACAAATACTTACCATTGTTTTACAATTGCCTACAGTATTCAGTACAGTAACAGGTTGTACAGGTTTGTAATCTACCAGCAACAAGTTATACTATATAGCCTAGGTGTGTTGTAGGCTATACCGTCTAGGTGTGTGTAAGTACACTATGATGTTCACACAATGATAACAGTGCCTAATGACACATTTCTCAGAAGGTATGCCCACTGCTCAGTGATTCATGACTGTATATATATGCGTACACACACACACACACATACACACACACACACACATATATATATATGAATTTCTAGATCTATATAGAAATTGGCTAATGCATGATTATGGAGGCTGAGAAGTCCCAAGACCAGCAGTTGCAAGCTGGAAACCTGGGAGAGTCAATGTATAGTTCAGTCTGGAAGCCAGCAGACTCAGGATACAAGATGAGCTGATTTTCAGTTTGAGTCGGAAGGCAGAAAAAGAACAATGTTCCAGCACCAGAAGTCAGGCAGCTTGAGATCACCGTATTTTGGGGGAGGTTCAGCCTTTTTGTTCTATGTAGGGCTTCCACAGGTTGGATGAGGGACACCCCCACTGGGGAGGGCGGTCTTCTTTACTCAGTCTACTGATTCAATGTTAATCTCATCCAGAAACATCCTCACAGACATATAAAAAAAAATTTGACAAATGTCTACACATCCTGTGGCCTAGTCAAGCTGACATATAAAATCACCTGTCACAGTAGTGTCTACCAGATTTGTCTTCTACAGGTGCTGTTTCCCTGGGGGAATGAATGAGGATTCCGTGTGTGATATTCTGTGACTGTGTCAATGTCCTGCTCCCCAGCATTTTATCCAATGGAGTCATAGAGCTTAAACTGCTAAAAGGTGCTAGAAAGTGCTTGGGTTAGTTGAAAAGAGATAAATAACTTCCTTTAATGTTAAGAACTTCCTACAGAGTCCAGTTCAAGGTCAAGATCCAGACTGGAAGGCTAAGGGTCAGAGAGCGATATGAATCTGACAGAGTGACAGTCTTGAGCCAGGCAAGGGCAGGCATGTGGCTCTCCCGACTGGTGGCCCATGCTCATGGAAACCCAGATTTGAGGAAAAACTGTGGGAACTTTCAGGTTGCTCTTCAAACTCTCCCCAGAGCAAGGGTGCCAGGGCTCCTGAAGAGAAGGTAGGAGAGGGTGGTTACTTAGCTCAGCAGGAGTCTGAGATGGTGAATGTAGCCCTGGCTTCAGCTTGGAGAACTCTGGGACAGTTCCAGGGGAAAGGACTGTCACTCTGCTGCATAGTGACATCTTGTTTTGCAAATAAGTGCATTAAAGGGACTGGTTCTGGGCTTTCCATCTCTGTCACTGTATGCATGGAGCCTGGGAGGTGGGACAGATCTGTGGCAGGAGAACAGGGGCCAGGAACCATCTCCTTGTCCTGTCCTATTCATCCTCAGAACTATAATGGACCCCAACAGAGTAACCCGCCTTTGCAGAGGAACGAACTGTCTGAGCACTAGAAGACTCTTTTTTTTTTTTTGAAAGAAGCTTTTTTCCAGAATTCCTCCTCTCAAATAAACTTTGTTGTTGTTACTGCTGCTGTTTTAAGACACTATATAGGATTTTTAGCGAATCAGTGTCACTCACACTTCACGTTACGGCCTTCTGAATGTCTATTTCATCTTAGGTGATTTACATATCCTTTTTTCCCCCTTACTACCTCACATCCACTACTGTACCTTCCAGTTGCCTCCAATTTTTCGGCATTTTATACATTTAAAATAGAAATGTCACACCTTTTATTTTATCCTCACAATAACAAGGAGATATTGTTGCCAGTTTATTTTCTGTAAACTGAGGCAAAAACAAGTAAAATAACTCATTGAAAATTCCAGAGCAACAGCCCAGTTTTCCTGAACATCTGTCTTGTGAGAGGCACCCACAGCTGTGTCTCTGAGGGGCATCTTCATATTTTGCAGACTAGAAACTTCCATTATTGTCCTTTACTTAGGCTCAACAGGACTCAAGTTACTTTTCTAAGCAATATCTTTTTCTTTTCTTTTTTTTTTTTTTGAGACAGACTCTTGCTCTGTCACCCAGGCTGGAGTTCAGTGGCATGATCTTGGTTCACTGCAACCTCCGCCTCCTGGATTCAAGCAATTCTTGTGTCTCAGCCTCCCAAGTAGCAGGGATCACAGTTTTGACCTGGGAAGTATTGGAAATAGAATACATATAAATAATTATTTTAGTATGCCAGTTGTTCTTAATGTAAAATATTTGGCTCCTTTTTTGAACCAACTTGGTTCTACAGGCAAAGAAGAACCAGATTATTGATTTCTCAAGTCATCCCTTTGTTAGTGTTTGCTGGAGTTACCTGGAAAAAACTTGCATTTAATTCCCTCTTTGCCATTTCCTTGAATGTCCAGGCATGCACCTCACACCTGGCTAATTTTTGTGTATTTTTAGTAGAGATGGAGTTCTGCCATGTTGGCCAGGCTGGTCTTGAACTCCTGGTCTCAAGCAATCCACCTGCCTCGGCCTCCCAAAGTGCTGGGATTGCAGGCATAAGCCACCGCACCTGGCCAGCCATGTCTTTTCATGTTGATACATTGAAAAGTTTGCTCAGCTCTGCCTTCTAAAAGAAACTACAAAAGCCGTTGCTATGTCCTTCCCTATTTATGTTTTAAAAAGTTTTGACCTGGGAAGTATTGGAAATAGAATTAGGGGGAAGATCCATCCCAGGCTACCTTGTACATAAACTGATGTACAAGAAGTTCAAGCTAATTTACGAGAAACTTTACCTAGGAAAAGGGAATGAAATGTATAAAAATAAGTTATACTTAAAAAAATAAGTAAAGATTACAACTTTGCATAGTTTTAGAATGAGCAAAGATAGATTCTTCTCCATGAAATGGCCTTTTGAGTGTGGAAGGGTATACGAGATCACTTGTATAATACTTCATTAATCTTAATTATTAATCAAATGACTAGCATTTTAAAAAATAAGCAATTATACTAAATTTTAACATACTACTTATGGAATTTACTTTAAAAAGAAATTTTCCCCCAACATGTAAATAATACTTGTACATATAAACACTCTTAAACAATTAAAATCACAAGTTTAGGGCTGGGCACAGTGGCTCACGCCTGTAATCCCAGCACTTTGGGAGGCCAAGGTGGGTGGATCACTTGAGGTCAGGAGTTCAAGACTAGCCTGGTAAACATGGTGAAACCCCATCTCTACTAAAAATACAAAATTAGCCAGGTGTGGTGGCGGGCACCTGTAATCACAGCTACTTGGGAGGCTGAGGCAGGAGAATCACTTGAACCCGGGATGTGGAGGTTGCAAAGCCAAGATCACACCACTGCACTCCAGCCTGGGTGACAGAGCATGGCCCCATCTAAGAAAAAAAAAATCACAAGTTTAACAGATCAGATTACCTTACAAAGATTAAAAATCTTTCAAAACAGACCAAACACAAACTAACCAGGGTTCTAAAAGTGCTCAACACACTTACCACTAGAACAATTAAGCAGACAGTTTTATCCTTATCTTGATTTTCACCACAATGTTTATCCTCATTTTCATTTATTCCTGAGGTTGCCTCCTTAGGCTTTCAGTAAGCAATACATTTACTAACCCAAAGTAAAAAGAGATGTGGCCTCAGACCAGTAGAAGTTACAAGATTTGGCTGTCCAGTTCAAAACTCTTGGGTGGGTGTGAGACCTGCTTATTTAGTTCAGGAGCTTCAAGCCTGCACACTGATCATTAGGTTGAGTGTCTATTAATAATCAGGGCTTTCTTGTTATGTCTTCAGCCCTCATCGGGGATATAGGCTTTAATTTTTTGAAACTAGATGTCTTCCCCAGAAATAAGGTATCCTTCCAGCTTCACATGGTCCAGTACATAGCCATCGTCCTAACATTATGATTCACTGAGCTACTTTTTTTTAGCATCATTAGACGTGTGTGTTCCTTATTAGTATATTATAAGAATTTGTGGGTTATCTAAAGGTTTTGGCTCCTAGGAGATGAGGAAGTCAGTCTGCTTTATGAGCCCTCCTCTTTGGACCCTCTTTCTGTTTTGTCATTTGCAGCACATTGTTGAGCCTTCTTTCTACTTGGTCATTTTGTGTGACCATCAGAGGTTAAATGTGGGTCCGCTGGTTATTATACAAGACCAGAATATTGATCAGCCCTTCCTGTTCTTGATAGAGTTCCTTCTATTTCTGTGTTAGTTCAGCTCACTCCCAATTATTCTGTCCATTCTTCTTTTCTACTTACCCTGAACATATATATTATATACACACATATTTATAAACTAATATAGCAGCAAAATTTGTGCATATAATTCATATATGCATATGTATGTACATTGGTATACATATAGGCATATATACATCCCTTACCTCATGAAATAATGACAAACATAAATCCTGTTTTCATTCTTCTTTTGTATTATAAGTTTCCTTTTTTTTACTATTTCTTTTAGCTTTTCTCCTTTGACTTTGATTTTGAACTCAATCTTTCATAGATCAAATCATTCCAATTACCTAATACTATTTTTATTTTATACCTAACACTAATTTTATTTTTATTTAATTATAATGTAACAATAATAATTATTTAATATTTGAATTATCACAACTTTTCCATGAGAATTCCCTTAAGTCAGATCCTTTGATTTTTTAATCATTGTCACTATATTTTTCACATTATCCTCATTTTCTGGTACCTGCAGGATGTTCCCAACCCATTCTGAGTGTTTTCCTTTCGCTTACCAATTCTGAGTTTCCCCTCCCCACCACCTCCTCAGCCATCAGCCTTGCTGGCACAGGCTCTCCGTGATCACACCTGGGGCCCTAGGCAGTCCCTCTCTGCAGCTGTCTGTTTAGACACCTCCAGGGCAGGATATGGAATGGCTTTGCCTGCAATTCCAGCAGATCCACCAACGTCACTTTCACTGGCACCGTGAAAGCCTGCATCTTTTGCAAGACTTATATCAATTTGCAGCATGTAGCACTATACTGTTCAACATTTCCAACAGCAGACTATCTGGGGAAAAATTAATGAACAAAGCCTTGGCTTTATGTGGGGATGGACCCAGCCAGGAGCACTCCTGGAGTGGGGACTAATTTTTATAAGTTGTCAGATTACTAGTAAACACTTAATGTTATGGTGATTTTTGCTTTCCTAAACAATCTGGCATCTTCAGGAAGTCACACAATGAATGCTGGGTTAACAAAGATCTATTATACTAAATAAATCTAGTGCGCTAAATTTCAAGACTTTTAACCTAACCCAGCACTTAAAATCTAAGATTAATAATCAAGTAGAGTGGGCATTGGGAAGGCGTGAGCCACATTCCTGGGATCTTCTTTCTGAGACTGGGTATTGCCCAGGCTGTGAAAATAGGCAGACTCATGACCTGGGGCTTTCCTGTTCACACCTCAGCTCTTCCTGCTGGTGCTCAGCCTTTACTGGAGAAGGTAACTCGGTCTTTTCATCTTTTGAAGAACATGAGCACCCAGTAAGATGTCAGCAATACACATTATCAGGTTCTTTTTGCCTTCTGGTATCGGACCAGACCTGATGTGAGCTATTATACAGAGACCTTAGTGTAAGGACATCTCCCTTGGTAGTAAGCGCTGGGCTTTGATGATCTGAAGAAAAACTGAGCTGCGTCCCAGTTCTAGAGTTCCTAGAGAGAGCACACTCCCTCTCTGGAGATTCTATTTTTCCTGTAACTCATGGCAAAGTGGTCCCCTGTGGATTTTTTCTTTGCCAAGCTTCTCCCAACTCCACATCCCATTGGTTTTGCCCTAATTGTTATTTATTTAAGATAAAAGAAAATGTAATCCTTATGCACCATATTCCATAAATTTAACTAATAAAAATGTTGTTTTGTAAGAGCCTTTTGAAGTCCAAGTAAACTTTGGAATCATTTTTATGAGACTTTAAAAATCTTTCTTCTTAGGGGCAGGAAGTTATATTTTGCCAAGAATAAATGAACTCAAATAGCAAAGGGATTGGGCTTGACATGAGGTGCCAAACCCACAGTGTTTCAGTGGCTTCTGAGCTGGGCCAAGTGCGTTTTCCCAGTCCTGAGAGTCAGGACTGGTATCTAAAGTTTCAGACTAACATGTTATTACTTATAAATAATTATTTTAGTATGCCAGTTGTTCTTAATGTAAAACGTTTGGCTCCATTTTTGAACCAACTTGATTCTATAGGCAAAGAAGAACCAGATTATTGATTTCTCAAGTCATCCCTTTGTTAGTGTTTGCTGGAGTTACCTGGAAAAAACCTGCATTTAATTCCCTCTTTGCCATTTCCTTGAATGTTCTTACCTTCTTCATTCATAGTAATTTAAGATAATGTAATTTTTTTCCATGCCCACATTCTAAAACATTTTTAGGAGTGTTTCCAAAAAGAGAAGTGATGATAAAACAATATAATTAATGTTGGAAGCCATGAAAAATTCATAGACACTTCAAAGAGAGGATCAAGTTGTGTCATATGAGGGCTTATCATTCCCAAAGAAGCTTTTATGAAAGATGAATATGAAGCTGGGCGTGGTGGCTCACGCTTGTAATCCCAGCACTTTGGGAGGCTGAGGCGAGCGGATCACAAGGTCAGGAGATCGAGACCATCCTGGCTAACATGGTGAAATACTGTCTCTACTAAAAATACAAAAAATTAGCTGGGCATGGTGGCGGGTGCCTGTAGTCCCTGCTACTCAGGAAGCTGAGGTAGGAGAATCCCTTGAGCCAAGATTGTGCCACTGCACTCCAGCCTGGTTGACAGAGCAAGACTCCATCTCAAAAAACAAAACAAACTAAACTAAAAACAAACACACAAAAAAAGATGAGTATGAAAATTAATTAATAGCAAGTTCAGTTGTCATTTTAAGACAAGTTATTGATTTAAAAACAAAAATATTTCACCCGCCACCCTCTTCTCCACTTGCCGGCTCTTCGCCCATCAACAGAAGGTTTTCCAATTGTATCTTCTCGTTCACTGTCTCTTCCTGCTACCTCTGAACTTCTGTCACACATTCTATTTCAGTCTTGCTTATGGCTGCTGTTATCATCACCATTATTTTGTGCTACCACTTCCCAGGTTCTCCGTTACTCCAGATCTTTCTCTCAAAAACTCAGGCCTGATGGCCTCTGTTTTTCTTGAGTTCACTTCCTCTGTCAGTCCAGGATATCCTGTCTTCTTTCTTATCCCCTAATTCCAGCCCTACACACTCCCCAGGCACAGCCTTCCTGTGACCCTTGTCCCAGCCAGGCAGGCACCAGATCATTAACTTTAGATTTTCTGACCACTCCTCAAGGAAAGATGGAAGATCTTTTCCTTGGCTCCAGCTAGGGATGTGAACAGACACCTTCCCCACCCCCTGCAGCCCTCTCACTAATAGGTAGTCAGGATGGCAGCTTGCACCTAGGCATCTGGTGAATTCAATTCACTTCTCTCAAGTAATCACTCTGCAAGGGCCCACTGTGTGCCAGGCACTGGGCCATGTGCTTGGTAGGCAAAGATGAATCAACTAGGGGCTGATTATTATCACAGGATGCAATGCAAAGCAGCCTCCTGGAAGAGGCAGTGGTGAATTCTGCTGTGAGGGGTTGGCTGGGAAGGCTTTCAGACGCAGCAATGCTTGTACTGGATTTGCATGAGAAGGAGAAGAGAAGACAAGAGGAGACCATTCCAAGAAGCGGTAGCCACTTCTGTAAAGGCGTGTAGTAGTACACAATGGGGGTGTGGTTGAGGAAATACAAGTAATTATGTTTTAAAAGAATGACAGTGACAAAGGGGAGGCATAGTGACAGCCACCCAAAGGTTTAAGGGAGTGATGTGATTTGATTCCTCTGGCGAGAAGGTGGTGGTTGCACTGGGGAGAAGGGTGTGGGGAGGACTGGAATAAGGCTGACCAGAGAGGACACTGTCATAGGCAAAGGAGGTCACAGGCTAGAGAGTGACAGTAGAGAGGGGAGGAGGGGCAGATTCAGTGTAATGAGGGGTGCATGACCCACCTGGTACCTTGCAGTGAGGTTAGGGTGAGGCAAGCTCCTGCGGAATTAGAAAATCTCAGGCCATAGTTTCATTCAGGCCTGGAGAAGGTTGTAACATCTTAATCCTCAACTAATTCCCGCTTTGCCAGAACGCTATAACCTATTTATAAAAGTACCCTTGTCAAGGATACTTTTGACCTTGTTCTATGAGAAATACACACATGCATCCATATATATGCATACAGAGTATGTGTAAGATATATATATAAATATAAATATATATAATATTTATAAAACATATGGATTACGTATGCCAGGGTTCTCCAGAGAAACAAAGCCAAAAGGATGTGTGTGTGAGTGTGTGTGTTGTGTATGTGTGTGGAGAGAAAGAGAGTGTGTGTAAGAAATATTTATTATAAGGAATTGGCTCATGCCGTTATGAATATTGGCATTTTCAAAATCTGCTGTAGAATTCAGGCCTTCAACTGATTAAATAAGACTCGGCCACATTATGGAGGTTAATCTGCTTCATTCAAAGTTTATTTAAAAAAAAAAACCTTTGCAGCTACATTTAGACTAATGTTTGACCAAACAAATGGGCACTGTGGCCTAACCAGGTTGATACAAAATCACAGACACTTTGCTTTACCTTCTTCCCATGTTCCCCCACAAAAAGGTGAATTCTGGCTTTGTGTTTGTAATTTTGTACTTATCTGCAACTTTAGACTAATTCTCAGAGTCTGAAAGAATAAAGATGTTTTCTAAGAATAAAAGCATTATTTGTATATTTGCTTCTAACCCTATATTAAATATCTAAACTGCATTAATTCATTAAATGCATCTTTTTACTCATACCCTTTTCTTTAAGTATTTCTTATGTGCTATCCCATTAACAATGGATACAGTAAGAATTATCCCTGTTTTGCTGGTGATGATCTGTCCAAGGTCCCTGGCTGGTGCACACTTTGCTGTCAAACGTTCTTGTTCTACCTCACAGCAGCTTTTGCTGATTCCAGCGTAAAGTTGCTTCTGTTTGTTCTCAACAGTTGTCCATCTCGCTGATGACTTATGAGGTATTTATTTTGCCTTGCATCTTTTGGAAACTTCTGAAATAGTCCTTATTTGTCAGTTTGCCAGTCCCTTGCCTACGGAGTAAATTTTAATGAATTTACTTGGGGAATTTAATGATGCCTTTATTTTTAAATTTTTTAATTTTTCTTGAGACACAGGGTCTCACTCTGTTGCCCAGGTTGGAGTGCAGTGGCACAATCATGACTCACTGCAGCCTTGACCTGGGCTCAAGCCATCCTCCCACCTTAGCCTCCCAAAGTGCTGTATTACAGGCATGAGCCACCACGCCTGGCCCTAATTATGCCTTCAGGAGAAATAAAGCCCATGCCCCAGATGAACATGGTTATTTATCTGAATACAGTATAAATGTAAATTGGGTGGTTAGATTTTGATGAATGGTATTTGAACTAAATGTTAGTAATGAGAAATAGGGATAGGCCCAGATGATTTGTGATATAGATGCCAATTCATATTTTATGATATCTATACAAAACAAGGAAATAACCAAGGTGGATGCCTTATTAGATCAGAATTGGGGAAATTAACTTTAACACGCAATGTGACCTTTGTACTGTAATCACCAATGTACTAAGCTAATCTGCATGAAGTCATGTTTTGGGAATTTGCTTATATTTATTCATCTTTTTGGTGGAAATAGCAATGATGGTATTAACAATTGGTATCTCAAACAAAACTGTACAGATATAGTCATGGCAGAGAACATGCTTTATGGTTTGATTTGTAAAAATGTTTTACATAATATTTTTCAGTGGAAATCTGAGTTAAAAATTAATTTTTAAAGGATACCTAAGGGACCTACATTTTAGAACTAAAATGCTGAAGGATCAACAAATAAATATGAATACCTATTAACTATAAAAGCAAGAGAAAAAACTTTTCTCTATAATAATCTACAGAAAAAAGCTCAAATATTCAGGAAGTCAAATGGGTATAGAAATGTTTACTTAAAATTTGAAACCTTATAATATATATTTTAACCAAATAGTATTTTTACAATTGGTATAATTTATGTAGACAAAGGAGAGATTGATTTCTATCGAGTGCTCGCTTGCATTTTTGAGGGATTGAATTAGAGATGCCGTGGGGTGAATGGCTCGCAAATTCCACGAAAAAAACCTATCCCAAAATGGACACAAGAGGGCGCCAAAGATGCAGTAGCTGATGGAGATTTAATGGACGAATACTCTGGCACTTACAAATGAAGCCATGTTTATTTTATTCTGGGTAATATATTATGCACCTGCTTGTTTTATTTTTTAGACTGATTCGTGTCAAATGACTTTCCAGAAATATGACATGTGTACTGGATCCAGGCAGAACTAATCTTTCAATGTAGAAGTAGTACTATTTTGTACAAACTATATTCCATGATATAATGAAGTTTTACTTTATTGTACTCACTCTAAAGAGAATTAAGAGAATGTAACAAGATGGCACATACTTTTTCAAGCATTTTGTCTCTGTAACTCACTAGGAAACAGTTTTTGATTATGGGATATTTACCACACACACACACACACACACACACACACACATACCCATACATACAAATTCCTTTGTTACAGGAAAAGAGTAGTGAGTTTTTGTCTAGAGGATTCAGGGACTAATTTAGGGCTGAGACTTCCAGAAAAAAGAGGACACAAAATGATAACTGAAGGAACTAGAGTTTGCCGTGCATGAGGAAGAACTAAGTCATTTTGGTCCTATAAATGTTTGGCTTATATGTTATTTTGCTAGGGCTGCTATAAAGAAATACTTTTGTCATCACAAAATAAGCCAAAATGGGTGGCTTAAACAATGCTATTTAAATAAATAGCATTTATCTTCCCACAGTTCTGGAGGCCAGAAGTGCAAGATCAAGGTGTCAGCAAGATTGGTTTCTCTTGAGGCCGCTCTCCGTGGCTTGTAGATGCCCATCTTCTTATGATACCCTCACGTGGTCTTTTCTCAGTGCGCACGGAATCCTGGCATGTCTTCACATGTCCAAATTTCCTCCTCTTATGAGGACACCAGGGAGATTGAATAAGGGCCTACCCTAAAGGCCTTATTTTAACTTAAACACTTCTTTAAAGGCTCTAACTCAGTGGTCTCCAACCTTTTTGGCACCAGGGACTGGTTCTGTGGCAGAAAATTTTTCCACAAATGGGTGGGGTGGGAGGGGATGGTTTGGGGATGATTCAAGCATATTACATTTATTGTGCACTTTATTTCTATTATTACATTGTAATATATAAAGAAATAATTATACAACTCACCATAACATAGAATCAGTGGGAGCCCTGAGCTTGTTTTCCTGCAAGTAGATGGTCCCATCTGGGGGGTGATGGGAGACAGTGACAGATCATCAGTCATTAGATTCTCAAAAGGAGCACACAACCTGGATCCCTCACATGCGCAGTTCACAATAGGGTTGGCACTCCTCTGAGAATCTAATGCTGCTGCTGATCTGACAGGAGGAGGAGCTCAGGCGGTAATGCAAACAATGGGGAGCCGCTGTAAATACAGATGACACTTTGCTAGCTGCTCACCTCCTGTTGTGCAGCTCGGTTCCTAACTGGCCACACACTGGTACTGGTCTGTGGTAGGGAGGGGTGGGAAGTGGTTTAGGGACCCCTGCTTTATCTCCACATATGGTCTTATTCTTAGATAATGAAGGTTAGCGCTTCAACAGATACATTTTGGGGAGACACAGTCCAATCCATAACATCTTGGTTCCTTGCTTGTGTAAGTTTAGAATGGTGGAGGGCAATGGGCTCTCTCTCTTTCTGAGTTTACTGACCAGCTTTCAGTGAAACAAGCTCTGTGCCCTGCACACATCAGGTACTCAATATACATTTGTTGAGTGGGTGAATTTCTGCCTGGAAAAGTGACACATTTTACTTTGCTTAGCCTTGCCTGATATCTTCAGCTGCCTGACAGGTAATAATTAACTGTTGAAAGAAAGGCATAAATACTTCCTTTTAAACATTGACATTATGTCCATCTGGTGAAAGAAAAGGATAGAAGCAAATAAAGAGAGTTCAGGAAATGCTAAAATTTCTTTGAAATAATTTCATTGAAAATTAACAAGTTGATTATTGTGAAAACAGATTCCAATTTACACATAATGGCCAATCATCTAGTTTTCCTGGCCTCTGATGAAACCCTTCCTACCTAGAGTGATCTGCTTTTTACCCCACCATAATGGTTATGGAGGGCTTCTTAGGTTAATTTGCCTTTCAGACTTCAACCGCTTAAAGATAATACATTTAACTCAATTATAAGCTGTCGCCCTGTTCACAGTGCAATTTCTTCTGCCCTGGCATCCCTGCCCCAACACTTCTGCTGCTGTGCCCACCCCTCACTTAGGCTGCAATAACTGAGTTCTTTGCAATCGGACAACTTGTACGGGGTCTGCAAAACTCTAGCACAGAGGCCGGCAGGGGCAGTTAAAAATCAGAGTCTCCCATTTTCAGAATTGCTCTATTTCAGGATGAATTTCTGGCCACAAGAAGACAAAGTGAGGTCTCCTGGGTTGACCAGCTGAAAGTGGGTCAGAAGGCTGGGCTCATGGGAGAGCTTCCACCTACACTGCCTTACAGGGGCCACTGGACACCAGGCACACGCTCACTTGTCTAGGCTCCAAGGGCCCGGCTTAAGGGACAGGAAGAAGTGAGGGACCCTAAACTTTGTCTTCACTTGCTATAATGTTCCCTCCCTTGAAGCATGTTTCTGTTTTTCCAAACAACTGGTTAATTATTGATTGATTTTCTAAATCTCACCCTCTTTAATTGGGAGCTGTGGGCTAAAATATAAGGCATTGAGTTGGATTTAATATAAATATCCCATCCTTCATGCATCTTCAACTTTCTCCTAACCCTTCAAAAAAAGATTGTTTCTTCCTCTTGTCTCTTGGACTTCCCTTTTTCAGGCTGCTGTGATAAAGTTCTTGATACTTTCTTTCTCAAAAGACTTTTAAAAAATCCTTTATGTTGGCAGGGAATTAACTCATGAATAAATGGATAATAATACCGGCTGACATTTTTGGAGCGTTGACTATTTGGCAGGCACAAAGCCGAGGGATTTGCTCGCATTATCTCACTTGATCCTCTCAACAGCTTTGTGATAAAGCCCACTTCACAAACGAAGAAACTAAAGCTGAGAGAGTTAAGTAGCTCGTCCTAGGTCATGGGATTAGGAAGCAGAAATATTCAATTCTCAAGTTCAGGAGAAAGGAAGGAAAGTCCGTGACTCTGAAACACACACAAAGGTGGAAGGTCCAAAGCTAATGTTTACTACTTTCGCTTAACAAGGGTGTGTAATGCAGCCACTATGCCTAATACCCCGAAGGTAACAAAAGGGGCCGAGCTATAGACCTTGCCCTTGGAAACATTTTTAGTCTACTTTGGTGGTTCCCAAACTGTGCTACACATTGGACTGATATGAGGATCTGTGAATGTGTATACTAATGCCTGCTAGGCCCCCAGAAAGTCATATTTAAATAGTTTGTATGAGAGTGTGATGTGGGCATCAGGACTTTCAAAAGCTTTCCAAGTGATGTTAAGGTGCAAAGTCTGGGAACTGCTGGGCTAGCAGGAGAGTGACACTGTCATACATTGATTGTGAAGCAGGAGGTACATCCATGTGGCATTGTGTGGCTGGGTTATAATTTCCGCAAGAATTTTCATAATTCACTTGCCATTGAAGTCAGGTCAGCAGACCCTCAAATCTGTTCTTTTGTGTTTTCCTCACTTTGCTCTGGATAGCACATTACTTTGATTCACAAAGCCCTGGGCAACAATCAGTATTTTGGTTTCTTTTCTTCCTGCACAAGGTTCAAGAAAGAGCTTTGGTTCACCTGGGTTTCTGTGGTCTCGCCCTGGCTACTCCCCTTCTCTCCTCTGTTTCCCCTTACCATCTAGCTCGCTTCCCTGTTTCAGCTTTTGTTCTCCATTTTCACTCGTTTTTTTGCTCGCTGAAAATTTCTCATCATTTACTACTCCTCATCTGTCACTCATCTATCTCCCTGATTAAAATTTGACAAGCTTAGTGCTTAAAAAAAATGCAACTTTTTTTTTGAAGGGAAAAAAGCTCCAATGTCTTTTGTGTACTCATTTGATTAGGAAATTTCCACACATTCTGCCCTCCTTTCTACAAACTCGTATTCCATTCACCTGTGTCATTTCCTGTGCCCCTGTTTGGAGCTGATCACCTAATTATTTTTCATTCAGTATCTGTTGATCACTCATCCTGTCCAAAGCACTGCTATTCCTCTTTGAATAGCAGTTTTAAACTTGTTAGGGAAATGCAGAATTCCCCTTGCATGTTACCATTACTCCATTTGGTGTTTAACTGTACTGAACATATTGAAAGGTTGAAAGAGACATTACTATTTTGGTTATTTATCTGTTGCCGAATGTACATGAAAAGATGTAGCTTTTCTTCCAATGTTCATCAACAGCAGATAGTATTTTATGGCTATGAGATTTTTAAAGCAATTACAGCTATTCATTTACATTTTACTAATTGTTAAATTTTACCAATTTGGACAACGTTAGAAAAATACAGAGGAGGTTTAAAAGAAAGCCATGAGGAGATAGGAAAAAGAAATACTAGAGAGTACAGAATTAAAGTATGAAATTAATTCCAAATAAACATCACCAATAGAGCTGCAGAGATCAAATAGAACAAGAGGAATAGAGACACATACTTAGAACTATACAGAGAGAAACAAATTCTTAGAACTAAGCAAGTAGGTAGGCATGGGCTAAGGTTAAGTAAAACACCAGAAATTGAAGATAAGAATGGATGAGTGAGAAAGAGAATTAACATAGAAATAAAGAGTTTACTACTTACAAAGGTATATACGCCAAAGGAAAAGAAACACAGGAGTTAAGTTGTCCTGGTCCTAGTTATAAAGGCGCAAACTCGCACTTGTTAATAAAGACCATTGTATTCGAAAACCTGGTTGAGGATTATTCATTCTCGGTAGAAAGAACTTTCAGCAGTTTGACAAAAGTAGAATGCAGGAGTTGCTTTTATAGAGCCAGAAGATGGCACTGTTGTCAATGTTTGCAGGCAGAGAATAACGAATTCTTGTTATTCAAGCTGGTTTCTGTACGGTTTAGCCCAATAGAATGCCCTTAAAGGAGGATTATGTGTGGATTTTTATTCTATAGGTTTTCTATAAAATACAGAAAAAAAAAACCCAAACCAATTTGAAACTCAAGAAAAATGATGCATGATCAATGTTTTAGATCCATATACCTGTTACTTATGGTCAATATAGCTGCATCTTCATATGGGCATTCTATTTTGGTTAGGTTTTTAGTTTATTTTCCCCATAATGAGCAAAATCTATTTCTAGCTAATTTAGGGTAAGTGATGGATTAATTGTATTACGTTTCTAAGTTAGTATTATTGGAAATCCATAGACATCATTGTGTTGCTATTGTTTTAGGATGTTAAAACTTCTGCTCTGGTTGTGTATTACCAACCATGTTTTCCAGCTGTGGTGGCTTATCTTACTATGATAGGATTTATGTATTTATTATCATGCTTCAGACAAAAAGATGTACAAGGAAAAACATTTTGACTTCATTTAGAGTAAATATGAAACAAGGCAGGTCTCACTGTTGAAATTTCTTTATAGTAACACATTTCTTGGTTTGTTCTTTGCAAAATTTTGAACAATTAAATAAGTATCAAAAAAGTTAGTCTTGAGGAATAATTCCTGGACCTGAAAAGGAGGCAACACTGCAACTCTCACCCTAAATCTTTCCTTTCCTTTAACTCTCTCTCTTTCTCTGTGTGTGTGTGTTTGTGTGTGTGCTAGGACTGTTGGTGAGGAGAAAAACTGGGGTGAGGTCAAGGTCAAGAGACAGAGTAGAAAGACAATTTTAGCTTTGGCTATTTTAATTTCATACTCAGCGCTGAATTTAATCACTTTTTTATCAAATGGAATTCTAAAGCTATATTCTGAAGAATCACATTATGCTTAAAAAGAATATATTTGAATGTAATTTTGAAAAATTAACCAGTAATTAAAAAAATAAGAACACATTCTGCAATGCCTATTTAAAAACTTTTTAAGAATTGCATTTGGTGTTCTGTTACATTATTAATCCAGGTAAACTTCCTGCATTTATTCACACAGGTGGGTACATTTCATCACAACCACATATGACTCAGACTTCTAAAAAGTAAAAACATGACATTTTTGGTTAATAATTATTTCAGCAACATTTCCCGAGCATCTTTTATATCATAAACAACGTGGATCCTGATTCAGCTCTTCTGGATTCCATAATAACAGATGGATTGCGAGACTGTTTACTGCTGCTTCCCACAAACTTCCTCTTTGTAAACTACTATATTATTTATGAATCAGAAAAGTTTCAAAGAAGCCTCCTATCTGATTACTGCTTACTGATGAACTTGCATCAGAGAAACTTTTAGCCCAATTATCCCAGTTTGTTACAAAGAACTGTTATTATTTCAAAGTCTGAATTTGTTAACTGGTTACTATGCCTGCTTCTTTGTGCCATTTTACTCACAAAGTCCTTGTCAGACAGATTGCAGTAACTCTATCCTCAGGAAACAGGTCATAGTGAATATATCGGCACTGAAAAATGAAGGCAGACTAATACCAAGTATTTTATAAATAGTATTACCACATCAGGCACTTTGAGATCTATTTGAAATATGCTTTGGAAAATATTACAAATGATTTGGCTTTGAACTGATTTATATTTATCTTTGTGGAAAATCATATCTAGGTTTGTGCAACAATGCAGTCATGGAGTTTGTAGACATTTTTGGTCACTAAACTTGACACTTGTAATTGTTGGTTTGAGTGTCATGCAGGAATAAATGCTGAAACATAATGAAGCTGCAGTATACCTCTTTAAAGTTTATTTGAGCCACCATGACGGGCCTGATCCATTCTGATTTTACAATTTACTTTAGCAATAGAAGCAACGTTTCTTTTCTGTGAGTGTGTGAAGTGGGCACAAAGATACCCACACTGATAGGTTTTTAATTAGACTCAAGAGAAAAGGAGACAAAACCAAAGGCAAACAAAACAAAAATCTCCCCTAAAATGAAGGCCTGCGAATAAGCCTAACCTTGCCTTCCGATTTCCACCCTCTGTGCTACATTAACGCTATGCAACAAGATTATGATTAATTTATCATGACCTTGATAAGAAACATATTTACAGAAAAATGTGGTCAATTACAATTGTTCTTGGGCTGAATCTGAGCTAGTTGTGTGTGTGTGTGTGTGTGTGTGTGTGAGAGAGAGAGAGAGACAGAGACACAGAGAGAGAGAGAGAAAGAGAGAGACAGGACCAGTGATGTCATCATCCTATCAAAAATATAATTGTAAATACCCTGATTATGAACTGAGCAAGTTCTCACCCTGCCCCTAGATGCTGTCCTCACCGTTGACTCTCGCTGCCCGCATGGGGACCTAATGCTGCGGCAGAGCAGCTGCAGAATCCCTGCATGCCGAACTCAACCAGGAAGAAGCCAGTGACAGATGCCTCTGCATTTTATGCAAATAACAACTTCATGGATCAGTTTTCCTTTCCTCTATGGAATATAAGCATCTGGAAAATAGAATTCCAAGGGCCTTAGCACATTAACAAATGAACAGAAATGACCAAACCACGCAGGTATAACAGGACTGACCTAGAATGTCAAAGAGGAGTGTGTTCATTAAAGCCCTAGTTTTATTGTAATTCTTTCCCACTCAAACTGGGTGCTTTTCTCACTTCCTAGTACTTTCTTTCCATAAGTCTGTAGTAATTGAAAAGTATATTGTTTTATATCACTGTCTCCCAGCCACTATCCCATCGTTTTAGAGTACATGTAGTCAGAATAAATAAATCAACACGTTGGTTGAAGATGTGTTTAAAATGGTTCTAAACAAAAGCAAAAACAGAACAAGAACATTCTTCCTCAGAAAAAAGTTATTTTTTCAAAAGTAGAACTAAGTTTCAAAGCTTAAGATTTTAGATATTTGCAGTTAAATAATTACTATTTTTTTATATTGCTGTGCCACTTAACATATACTTATGAAAAATCATAAGCTTTATAATTAAAGATGCAGCAAACATTTATGTATATTCTGACATTCAGCTTCAGCTTCTAAATGGAGATTACTACTATTTCAATACATAAATAATTTTATAGTACTCTCATTTGCTTTAAGAAGGCTTTCACATTATACCTAATTTTATGTAAATGTTATTCAGATTTCAATCCAAGAGTTTTGTAGGGGAGGTTAAAGGGTGTTTATCTTGATTTGTTAAAATGCACCATTAAAATTAAGCAGTGACAAATATTATGACTTTTTAAATTGTTCTAAATGGTTTTATTTGTTTATTAGTTTTGTGTTTGTACAAAATATTTTAACTCTTTAAATGTAACCTAATTTGATGAATTGTTCAAATAGGAGGTATACTCAGCAAATAGATCTGGTAATCTCATAAATTCAAAAATTAGCTTGTATTCTTAGTAAACCTCCTTTATGAGTATTGTTTAATGAAATGAAATGATATATGTCACATTTAGAAAAATTAATGATGATGAAAATCAATACAAAAAGAAAGCTTTGATTATTTTATATTCTAAAAGGCTACCCTTTATGAAATGATCATAAAAATTTGTGCTTAAAATGTATTTATTGAACATACTTTTTTAATGTTTGGGGAGAACATGTATTTATCTAGAGTAATCACAAAAGAAAAGCAAATTGACAAAGAATATTTCACTAGTTTGTTTTAAAATACTTCTGAAATTGATATTTTAAGGAGAAAAGGAAATAGATCAGAAATGTTTCTTCATAAAAGTAGGATTATTATATTCCTACATATTGCTTATGAAAAGTAATCAGCAAAGAGGGTATAGATAAGGCATGGCTCTAAATGAAACCTTAACCCAAAATTCAAAAATCCATTTCAGAATCAAGTATTAATAAACTTCATTTTAGTTTCTCATAAGTGCAGCTGCATTTTCTGTTTAATTACAGGTTTTCAACAGTAGTCATTTTTCCTTGACCTACGTACTCAATCTCAAAAGTCAGAAAATTGCTTCTTTTTAAAAACTGACAATGGCACGGTATGTTTCTAAAGAAAAAAGACAAATTACAGAAAACCATTAGTTTAAGCATATTTAAATAGCCAGGAAGAAGTTCTAATAGAAAACTTGGTGAAATATGAGAAAAAGTTATGAGTTGTTTTTATTGCATGGCATAACATAAATGTTAAGATATTAATATTTTCTTTTTTTCTAAAAGTAAAGTAAAAAAATTTGTTGTATAATTGTAAAAAGCCCAATGCATTAAAGATGACTGGTTTTTTGCTCTTGTAAAAGGGATTCTTTACAATTGTAAATTTATGGAGATTTGATCTGCAGCCTGTGTAGTAGATGAACAGGAAAAGTCATTTTAAAAGTGAAAAATTTAGCTTATTAAGAGATGTAGAATAAAATAGTAAGATAAGTAGAGAGCAGAACATTGGCCTTTGAAAATGTAATAAGATTCATCTTATTTACCCATTATTTACTGACAAATCGAAGCAGAAAACATATTTTTAATTTAAATTGCTAAATCACAATAAAGAGTGTAAACATTCAGGTTTACTTTTAATGAAAAACAAAATAATCTCCCTTATTTAATAAAATAGATTCTCAACCATAGAAGTGAGGAGATGGGATTTTTGTTTATTTGATACAGAGATTTTATGTTTTTGCCAAATTGTTAAGCCATCTTTTGTAGCTTGTGAATTATTTGTGGGTTAGGGCACAAGTCATTGATTGATGACAGAAAGAAAGATTTAATGAACAATTATTCACTATTCAATTTTCTTACTTTTATCACATTAAAAAACTTTTTTGTATGTATTTATTGAGAGTTCCCCTGATTCCTTAGATGGAATTAAGCAAATTGCATAAAATAAGTCAAAACTGGCAAAAGAATATTCTTTCTAAATCTTAGTTATTAATAATTTCCTTTCCATCATTTGTGATACCAACACATTATGTCTTCACAGTCAAAAGGTGGTTTCAATACCCAGGTTAATTAAAAGGGCCAGGTTATAGAATCTGAATCATTGGTACCACCGAGATCTGTTGAGAATAATAGATCCAGCCAGGAAGCCAAGGGAAACTTTTAATAAAAATCAGAGATGCCAAGACATTCAGAGCTTTGATCTCTGCTCATTTTGATAGATTTGATATCAGTGGAATGACCCCAAACCCCCTTCCAAATGCAAAAACTCAAGTTGTCCTGGAAGTCAGGACTCACATTACAGTAAATTTTATGTGAGAATACCATTGACATTTAGCTTAATTTCCCCCCCTAGAGTTTCAAATGATTGTTGTATTTTGTAATTTACTTAGTAAAATATCTCTTACAATCTATCATTTCTTGTGAGCAAGGCCCAAGTAAGGATGGCATTCAAATGCCCAATAGCTTCCTCGGAGGCTACGAATTAAAAATACAAACTTGTGGCTTAAAAAAAGAGGCTACTAAACACTGAGAAAGAATTGGGATTTAATCAGCTGGGCAGCAGTGAGTCTGCCCGTGAAATTTAATCACAACATTTCTTCCTGGGACAAAGACTCATGTAAAAATGATTCTTTGGAGTAAAAGAGACCATGAAAATCTAAATAAAAAATAAATACACATTTGCACCCAATTTCTTGTAAATTATCAACTCATAAGAGACTTATGTGTCACAGTCAGTGACTACAAATTTTCTTGCCAGTGAATAATATTTTATATTGTCCTTATGAAAAACAGTTCACCCATAAAACAAATGCATAACAATTTTAGATACTTTTTTAATGGTGTGAGAAATTTAATGAAGGAAGTCCCCACAAAGTGAAGTAACTACAGACTTTATGTTTACTTATTAATTTGTTGAGATAATAAAATGAAAAAGGTAAAAATAAGCTATAGGTCTACTAGACAGGGTATTGGAATATGTTTTAAGAGTCCAGGGAACCAGTTCTAGGTCCGACAGAGCTCTCTGTGTCTTGGTTTCTTCATGTGTAAAATGAGAATTTAGGTTTAGATGATCTCTTGGGTCACAGAAAGTTCTAAAATTCTACAACTTTGAAAGTTAAGGATAAAATGCCTCTTGATTTCCCTTTTTATTTAAAAAGTATTGCTCACATTCTTACTATATTACCTTTCTGTGTAACATGCCCAAACTTTGGTAAAAAAATCTAGAAATGCATTTTGGCATGCACAAAGGAAGCAGTTAAAGTTCACCTAGAAAATGAAGAGTAAAATGACTATTGAAAGGAATGGAATTGCTGGAATGAAATTTATAGTATTACCACAAAAACAGGTAAATGTTGAAAAGCCATCATTTACTGAACAAGGATTTCAGAGTAAGAAAAGCACTCCCTCTTCTTTCTCCCATTACAAAAAAAAAAAAAAAAAGCCAAAGAGACAAGAAAAGAGAAGAGAGAGAAAGTGAGAGAGTGAGAAATATGGGCTAGCTATCTTTGCGTTTACCGCAGGTGTCCCATTTAGGATCAAGGGGATTTTCATCTCTGGCATGCTATATTTTGTAACCACTAAAAATATATAAGCACTTTATTAAAATGGCAAGGCAATGAGGTAATAGTTTGAGCAAATAAGTGCATAGGCACAAGTAGTTAGGTCAGGGAAATCTACAGGTCACAGAGACTGAGTGGCTGAGCCAGAGGTAAAAAGGAAGTTGGGTGATGAGGAAAAGATAACCATTAGCAGGGTAAGGGCCATGTGATAGAAATTACTCGAGGGATAATTCACCACTTTCACCCCTCTTATCTTTGGTCCTCTTTAAAAAAAAAGGAAAAGCAACAATAACTATAGCCTCATAACTTCACAGCTGTAGTCTTCTGAGAAAGCCACAGTTGTTTAGGAAAATCCCAATTGACTCCTGTATCTGATGCTCTAAATTCTTAAGACCTGTGGTGTTACATCATTAGCTGTGAGTGTCTGGCAGGCAGCTGGGCATTAGTAGATCCACGTCATCAGCTTTCATTATCTTCTTTATTTGCTGGGAAACACTGGTTGTCAACTGAGTGTTTTGGTGGGCTATTAGCTAAAGTCTAGCTATGATGAATTGACTTAATCCCTTTCCATGGGAGAAGATGTCTTGCAACAAGGCTGTAAGCATGGACTAAGATTCACGGTAGCTGGTGCGTCCTTTGCTGACTCATCCCATGACATATACTCTAATAAAGGGCTCAATTCAACTGTCTGATAAAGGCACTCTACAGGGTTAAGACTCCAAAAATTTAACAATCCGGAAGGCAGGCACCATCATCAATAAGGAAGATAGCCTTGAACAGGTCTGGGTTCTCTAGGCTGAGTACTGACTTCAGCAGTGTGGGCTAGTAGCCAGCATCAAAATATATTCCTAAAGAGTGTAAGCTCCAAAATTCAATATAAGATGTAAAAAGAATCCTTTAATTTTAGGTACAGCTCTTGTGGTTATTATTATAATACTATGATTTGGGTTAGTATCTATCTTGATATATTGGGCTCACAGATGGTTCTTAAAAGAAAAGATCAGAATTTGGGGTTAATTTCCGAGACGCGTAGGAATATTTCAATTTATAATTATTCTGTTATTTATTCATTTTAGTTGTTTAAACTTTACATGTTGGGAAAAATTAGGAGCAACTGCCGTTGTCTCTTCTCCTTCTTTCTCTGCATCTCCTCCTGTCCTCCTCTCGGTCCCAAAGTCACTTGCTCAGTACTGGCCCCTGTGGTGGGTTTGCCAATTGGCCGTATGCACCTAGAAATGGTGTTTCACTTTCCTCATCTATCCGTTATTCTCTTTCGTTGCCTAAACTTTCAAACAGTTTGAGGTTCAGAATATGTTTTATTGTGATGAGTCTTTTAAAAGCAGGCACAGAGATATGGATTAATTTTATAAAAAAAAGGAAAGGATATTATTTGATGGTGGTAAAATTTTTGTATGCAAGGTCTCATTTTCCCATTTGCTTGAATTACAATTTCAAAAACTCTTTAGGTTTATTTCAAATATTTTTTTCAGATGGAAAAATTTCTGAATGTTAAGCTTTTACATTTTTATCTCTAATCCATCTTCCCCACTCCTCTATCACTGACCTACAAATGAAATCAACACTTAAATGCAAAGGCACAGCAAGTTTCTCACATTCAGTTATCACCTTGGAGCCAAGCAACTTGGTTTTATTAAAATTTTATAAAGTTTAACACTTTATCATGACATAGTAGATTTATTCAATTTTTATACATTTTATAATAGTTTAAATTTTTATTAAGAAATAATTATGAATATTTGTTCTTTCATGTTATCCAAATATTTATAAAATCATAATTAGGATATGAAAAAATGCTTTTCTTCTTTGAAATTTTTCAATGAGTCCTGGTGAGTTCAAAAACTAACCTATTCTTCTGTGTCACATTAAACATAGAAATGTGGCTTTTGGGACTGGACACAATGAATCCTTCTCAGACAGTAAAATTTTCATTAGGAGAATAATAAAATGCTTTTAGCAGCATGAACTATTTCTGGTTTTCTCTACTTGGTAAAGCATCTGCTTTAAATTCCAGGTTGTTTGGCTTATGATTGAGATCATCTTTAATGTCACTGGGATGAACTTTAACAAATCTATAAAAACTTGTTAAAAATAGCAACAAAATTTGGTGAAATTTAGTGGGTATCCTGTGGTATTCATATACACATCATCTGTTTTTATAAGTATAAAAGTAAGATAATACCTCTGGACTTTACTCATAATTACAATATAGCCTCCTTTCATGAACAGAAGAAACATTTGCAAAATTTAGTACAGAAATTTAGGGAGGAGGCGTAGATCTATAGAAGTGGGATCTCAGAAATAGGATTATATTAAATCATTATTCTGATTTTGGTCATGTTATATTTAATTTGAAATAAGCCATTATTTTCCGTGGCATTAATAACTGGTAGTTAAGGAAAAACTGGTTATATAAATAAACTTATAAGTGCAGTTGCCTCACACCTAAGTGATAGAGCTAATCTTGAAAGAGAAAAGTGGCCCAGAGACCTCTTTGTGTGAAGTATCTCAACATATTGCTGCCTGTTATATTGTACCGAACACATGCACTTCTGTTTAGTAATATTTTGGGGAGCTGAGATTTAGGGAAGAAAAGACTGTAGCATCTTTGCAACTAATTCTAAAGTTTTATAGGGTTATTTATTTATTGGTACTGTGATGAACATGCATTATTTGTAATAACATTTTCAGTTTAACATTCCTTTTTTTATTTAACTCTGATTTTTAGACCTTCGAGTTTTTCTTTGCTTTAGCTTGGGAAAACCAAATAAGTGCAAGTTTCCTCCAAGACACCTCATGAAAACATTTTTTTTAAATAAAATCAAGAGTGAAACGAGTCTATATTTATTTGGAAGATCATCTGACTACTGCTAAATGGAGTATCTCAATCTGAAAGTGAAATCTGTTTCACTGCTAAAAATTGCCAAGAGTTTTTTGACTGAGATTTGGGAATCTGCAGAAAATGTAAAAGTTTTTTTTTTTTCTACAATAATCTGTTCAGTGAACAAGCTGTGAAAAATAGTTCTGTATTTTGTCCATGTGATGCAGCAGACGGTAAATTTCCATTTTAAAGAACGATATGAGTAGCTTCTGGCACCCATATCTATTGCCTTACTCGAATCTACTTACACTGAGTTACAACAATGCAGTTTATTATTTCTTTAAAGCAAAAAATAACAAGAGATCTTATATTCTTTTTTTTTCTACCATAGCTCAGCTCTATTCCTCTATCTGGGATCAGAAATGTGAGGGCACTCTGAGGCCTTATCAAATATGCCTTAAAATACCACATAATAGTAAGAAGATACTATTTCCCTGCATTTAATACTTTGCATTTGAAGAGCTTTAAACAATTTACTATTTCTTTCTAAACATATTTTTTGAAGTAGGTTGTCCCGTAATGAATAGTTACTGTAAACTCTTTAAGGATAATTTTTTAAAAAGTATAATTATGATTCTTATACAAACATAAGATGAACATGTGTTAAAGATTTTATTACATTAATTAATGAGGAAAGCAGTAAGATGTTACCTACTCAAAAAAGGATTCAAATTCACATCTACACACATACAGGCAGATAAACAATGCTGAAATGAATTTACAAATAGAAGCAAAATGGATCAATATATGAGGCAATAATGAATTGCATTCTACAGGTCATACCTTATTTGTATTTCTATGAACAAGAATGATTTGCATTATTATTAATTTTCTATAAGTCACAGAGATAGAAAATAACTCAAAGACAACAAAAGGTAGGGATGGCCCAGAAGGGTGTACTAGACAGGATACCTAATAATCTTTTTGGGTTTATCTCAGTTTTACCCAATTTTTACCTAAAGATCCAATTAAAAAGTACTTGTCACTTTTCCCACTGAAATTAATAAATTTTGTTTTCTGATTCACATTTCCCTTTTAAATCAAGTGCCTAGAACAATGTCTGACACATCGTGGTTGATATATATTTGCTGAATAGATGAAATTTTTGTTGTGTCTCCTACTGAACATTTTCCTAATAACCCAGTGGTAGAAATGAGTATGTTATTTTGTCTGCAGATCTCAAGCATGCCAGAAAGATTCTGAAAGAAACTTGGGGCAGCTTTTAAGGTTTTGGTACATATCTTTCTTTCGCCTTTGATCTTTAGAGTCAATGATGCATCAACTAAGGGAGTATGAGAAAAATAAAAGAAAACCATGAGTCAAATGTCCACTGTATTTCCAGTCCTCCATGGCAGAGATATAAACTCAGGTGGGTGAAACTAACATCAGTCTGGCTGTTGGGTGAGTCATCTCTGAGGGCAAGAAATCTTACCTCTCTGAGAACAATAGTGTACCACGCTGGCTTATTGCAAATCATATGCTTATTGTGACTTGGATTTTGATAATGTTAGATTGTCCTGGAGTTTATTTTTGTTCAGACTCAATTTATTTCAACTAAATGATGACCTAGGAAGTATGGTTTCAGGCTTAGCAGAAGGGTTCTGATGCCCGTATAATCCTTTTCTTCCTAATTTGTCTGATGCCTAAAATTCTGCCATTATTATCCCATCTCTTTATCACACTGTGACTTATCAGCTGCAATGATTCCAATTATGTATGTACACATTTTCTTTGGAGAGGCAAAAATTCTTGATGTTTTCAGTTTCCACACTTCATTGGGAAGAACAATTAAAGATCAGGTTGTGATTTGTTGTCCTATTAAGATTTTGAAATAAGTATGTAAGACAACTGGGTGCCAAAGGTGTATGACAGGTCAGAGAAAGGTGAAGTCAGGAATGAGAAAGTACTACAGGACTGAGGTCACTTTCTTCAACAGACTGATGGCACTAACCCTCTTCTTGCTGATATCTCTAAAATATTTTATGCAAAAAATACTGTGTCAGCAGCAGCATCACAAAAGCGGAGGGTATTCTTTTTACCATGGAAAAACTGAAAGGTTTTCATAACTAGCTATTTTGAGTCTTTAGTCATTGAAATACTTTGTTATTTATTAAAAAGTTGGTGACCTTCTGATAGCTTATCACACCGATCACTGGTTTATGGCACACCTAAGATTCTCTTATAGTTTACAAGGTATTTTCATATACATTATCTCATTTAATCTTTATAATAATCCAGTAGTCCCTGGCTGTGAAAAGTGAACTTTGACTCCAAAAGTGTTTTTTTCTCACTCAAGGCAGGCTGTCCTGGGTGAAATAAATGACTGTAACATAATCGTTTTGTTCTCATCAACTATATGAATGGTAGAAGTTGATTACCACAAATTATTTTTGTTGTGGTAGCCCATATCCTGCATGAAGATAATAAAAAAAGAAAAAAAACTCTGCAGTCACAGCCTGATTCATCTGCCATTTATAGGTGTGGTTTAGTCTTTCCTTCCTCTCAAGCTTTTCTGTTACCACTGAAAAAATTAGTTCTATAAACACTTCAAGTCTTGACTCACTGTCACTTTGCACTTTGTCATCCAATATTTTCAGATACAATAAAATTTGTATGAGAGAATCCTGGAACATAGGTTATTCATTATTCTCATCTGTAACTCTCTATTAAAGCAGTAGGAGTTTTGGAATGATATTTGGACTTTGTAAATAATGTAAAGGTAAGCATAAGTGATCTTCTGATAGTTCTTACTCTAAATAGCCAGTGTAACTTTAAACAAGTGACTTACTTTTCTGAAGTGAAAAGAATAATACTCTCAGTTTAGAGCATAAAAGTATTGTGAGGAGTAAGGGCAGTGAAGTATTCTTAGTTAAAATATGTCATTTAAATGTAAAGCATTATTACTATGAAAAGGAATAAGGGACATGAGTTATGTTATGATTAAATTTGCTTTTAAACTCTTGAACCTGAAAGGCCAAAGAAGTCTGTATTTCTGTATCATTGTGTATCCAATAGCTATCTGTCTCAAAAGTGACTTTGAATGGATTTTTATTAAATGAGTGAATAAATTTTATTACATTCTCAACTGGCTTTATTTAGTAGACAGTTTTACAAATTTGAATGGCTCAAGCATGGAGTGAAATAATTTAGGTGTATCCTTAAACAACAGCAGTGAATTCAAATTTGTATGTACTAATTAAAATTCTAGTTTGGAAAATCATTAACTTTAATGTATCTCAAAACACCTTCCTCTGCCCACTCTTTTCTTACAATACATTTTTTATTTTAGATTTTGTCTTATCTACATTGATTCTAACATTTGTCAATTTTTGGTCGTCCAGAATCTCTGTTATTTCAAGCACCTTCCCCGCCTTTTAGGAAATTGCATCTCTCCTAGTATACTTCCCTAGTACTGTCATGGGGCAATTGAGTGTCGATTTTGGCCAATTAGACCCCCTCTTTGGGTACATCAAATTTGAGGAAGTGACAAGGCCTGAAGCATGACTAGAAGTTCTCATAACAGCAGCAGTGGCAGCCATGGCGGCCTGTAATGGTGGTGGCATCCTGGCCAGCAATTCCAGCCATAAGCTAGCTGGGTGCTGTGCTTCTGCTTCCTGTTTCTTAGTCCTTTGAAGGGGCCTTGAATCCTGCCTATACCAAAGCCCAGACTTCCAGCTTCCTGTTCATTTTGTGAGGCGTACAAAAGTCTTCCAATGAACTGACCTTTTGCCTAAAGTAGTCAGAGTCAGTTTCTGTTGCTTGCATCCAAGAATTCAGACTGAAACAATGATTTGTGTTTCTGAGGAATAGCAAGTGAAAAAAAGAAAAGTTCCAAGAGTACTACTCGGTTCCATGTAACCATTGAAATGTTGGCCACTATTATTATTACATACTCTTCTTTTAGCACTATCATATAATATTGTAATTGTCTGTTTAGTTTGTCACACAGACTTGAATGCAAACACTTTGCAAGAATTTTGTCTTAGTGATTTTTGCATCTAGTTCAGTACAGGGAATATAGTTGACATTCAATAAATACTTGTTGGTTGGACCAAAAATAAGTTAAAATTGGCATTATTAGGCATACTATAGGCAATAAATTTAATTAAATTCACTATTAAGTTTATTTGATTTGTTGAGCCCTACTAAGTCCAAGTTCCTCTGAGAATTATAAATATGAATAAGTCATGCTGTTTGCCCCTCTACCTTTAATACATCTGTAATTTCATAATGAAGAAAGGATAAAATAAGAAACTCATATTCACTCATATTCAGGTACATTCCTCGACATGAAGATATCTTTTTCGTGAATTGGATATTATGGTATTATATGATAAATTTGAATCCTGCCCTTAAGACTGGCTTTTTCCAAATAGAGGTGTGATTTAATACTAAATACATTAAAATTGATTAAAGAGTTAAAAATGTAGGTATTCTATGATTTCATCTGGTGATTTGGATTAAAGCTGACTCATTAGTTTCATAATCAGGGATAATTGAGATTTCACTATTTTTAATTGATATTCTGATTTTAATAGATTTCATTAGAAGTAGAAAGAGTATTTTGTATTTTGTACCAGAAACTTATTTTTTTCAGTAAATGACCATTCACAGTATGAGTATTCATAAAATATTGATAAAATCAAATGAATCTAGCAGTTGGACTGAGTACTAGACATATTTATTTAAGCCTACATGTACATAGCCCTTATCAGAACACACAGACTCACAGCTATATTTCTACATTGTAATATATTATAGGAAGCAGGAAGTAAGACAAGGGTGGACACCATTCTCAAGGGTCTGACTTAATAGTGACCTGTAAAAGAGAAGTGTATTTTATAGGAAAGGGTAAGCCCACATCTCAGTATTCTTAGAGCTGGGTTTTCCAAGTATGGACATCTACCAGTGGTTCCTCAGAGTATGGAATGTGCACGAGTTTTGCCCTATCAACTGTTTTTTTGTCTGCTCAAGACAAAGTATTGCCCCAGAATATAAGTCATCTTCATCACCAAATACACCAAGTGTAGCTAACAATTTTTTTAGCAAGACTTTATTAATGGAGGAATCTATGTATTTTTTACAGTCTGACATGAGTTCCTTACTTCACTGTAGACCAAAAACAAACACTTTGTAGGAATCTCTTGTTAAAATGCAGTTTTAGGGCTACATAGGACACCTATTAAATAAAGCATTTGGGGAGGATAGCCACTAGAAATCTTTGTTTTTAATAAACTCTGAAAATCATCTTTCTATACATTTGATGTTTAAGAACCATTGTTTTAAATATAATAAATAGAAAAATATCCTCCTAGCATGACATGGAGCAAAACTTATTTTTTCATTTTTCAAAAACATGAAACCTTACAATTTTGCAGATTTCCATTAAAATAAGAGATCTAGTCAATCTCTCCAAGGTGAACACCAATATCCCTGTGGTTTAAGCTGCATTTATCAGATTTGTGATATTACACATACAGAACGCTAATAGCAAGACTATGCGGATATGTACATTAACTTATTAGAAAACATTTCCTGATCTTTCTTATACCTTCATTAATTCAAAATAAGACCTTTACTCACTAATTAATTTAAGAAAAGAAGTAAGAGCCTAAATGAGATTCTTATAAAAGCCTTATTTGAGCAGGATGAGGAACTTTCTATAATTTTGAAATAGCATTCAGGGGTAAGTTTTTAATAATAAAAAAACCCAAACAAATCTCAATTGGTCTTCTTTGATAGCTGAATTGTCTTGGCTGAGGGTAGATACATATTTGATTGATACCAGTTGACATTAGTAATGAAAGTCCTTTAGTTAGGGGACAGTGTGAGGGTCTGAGAGTCCCTGGAAGGCAAGTAGGCTATCTAAATTTTTACCCTGTGGTTGGCCATGTACAGACTAAGAAAGAAGGTAGAGCCTTTCCTACGTGAAAACTGGTAACTTTTCCTTTGTCATGAAGAATTTGAAGTGCAGATAGGAGGACAGGATGTTGAACAGACTGGGCTGAAATAGGGTTTCTTTAGACAATTGATACAGGAAGTTGGGGGCTATTTTTTTTAAATAACTATTTCTTTGGAGATGGTGGGATTTAATGATTTTGATTGATTTTTCTTGTGCTTATCAATATCTGATTCTTCTCACTTTGGCACATAGAAGATTGCATGTCTTAGGCTTCTTGCAATAGGGAGGTGATATATGACTGGTACTGGCCAATGGTTTTGTGAGTATAACTGATGTTACCTTAAGGCTAAAGTGTAGAAGAGTATGTGTAATGTAGCCAGGTGCTTTTTTCTTATACATCAGTAACTTCCAGGACTTCCTATGGAGGCAGCATGGCCTCAAAATAAAAGGAACCTAGATTCTCCAAATTATTGTATGGGAAACAATTGCCCTGGAGTGCTGCCGAACTCAGAACAGAATTTGCATAAATGAGAAATAAACCTTGGTCATACCGACACACTGAGGTTGTGGGACTATTTGTTACCACAGCCTAGTTTTATTCACTAGTAAAATAACCTACTAATACTGTCTTGGTTGGCTTGATTTTGTACTTGAAATAAAACAGATTATGAAAAGACTGGTTAAATTAGTAGAGACAAACTATTTCTTTGTATCCATTTATTAATTTGTTCAATAACTCAGCAAAATATGGAATACAGATTATACTCCAATCACTGTACTGTGCTGAGGGAAGCATAGTATTACGGTTACTAGCATGTGCTATGCAGTCACTGCCTGAGTTTGAATCTTGGTTCGTCCATGGGTGGGCTGTGTGATTATTGCCAAGTTTTTAACCTTCCTGTGCTTTAGTTTATTTCTTTACTTGTAAAACAGTGATTATATTAGTCCCTACCTTACAGAGTTTTGTGAAGTAAAAAGGAGATAATATATGTAAAGCGCTTGGCACTGTGCTCCACTAAGTAAATTTTCGAGTGCATTGATTGTTATTAGTGAGACTACCAAAATCTAGAAGTAAAATACCATTTATACTAGTAATTCATGTATTGGATTTTTATTACTGCCATAACGAATTACCACACACTTAACACACATTTGTTATTGCACAGTTCTACAGACCAGGTTTCTATGTTGGCATGGCTTGTTTCTTTTTCTTTTCTTTCTTTCTTTCTTTTTTTTTTTTTGAGGCAGATCTCACTGCAACCTCCATCTCCCAGGGTCAAGCAATTCTCCTGCCTCAACCTCCGAAGTAGCGAGGATTACAGGCGTGCACCACCATGCCTGGCTAATTTTTATATTTTTAGTAGAGATGGGGTTTCAGCATGTTGGCCAGGTTGGTCTCAAACTCCTGATCTCAAGTGATCTGCCTGCTTTCGGCTCCCAAAGAGCTGGAATTACAGGTGTGAGTCACCGTGCCTGGCCACTGGCTGGTTTCTCTGTGGCAAGTTTTACAAGGCTAAAATCAATGTGTTGACCAGTTATCCGGGGGCTCCTGGAAGAATCTGCTCCCAAGATCATCCGGTTGTTGGCAGAATCTAGTTCCTTGCAGTTGTAGGACTGAAATTCTTCTTTCTTTGCTGACTGTCAGCTGGGTCTGCCCTTTGCTCCTAGAGGCCTCACTGAGCCTGTGACTGCCTCCATCCCAGAGTGAGGGACAGTGCAGCAAATCTTTCTCATACTTAGAACCTCTTTGACTTCTCTCACCTTATCACTCTTCTGCCTCCAGCTGGAGAACGTACTCAGCTTTTAAGGGCTCATGTGATTCAATTGGGTCCACCCAGATAATCCAAGATGATTTCCCTACTTTAAGGTTTTTAACCTTAATTATATCTGCAAAGTCCCTTTTGCTATATAATGTAGCATCTTCACATGTTCTAGGGATGAGGGCATGGACATCTTTGGGGGACAATAATGTGGCCTGCACAGTTTCCCTGGGTCCGTAATCTACCTTTTCCTGATTTTAGTAAATATACTACTACATTATTGAGTGCTTTCTGTGTGCTAGGTAATAAATGACATGTCTCTAGCTCTCTAACTTTCTATTTAATTTCCCAGAGTACTGCAAACAAGTTCTTAATTTTTTTCATTTTTAAAGAAAAGGAACTGATGCTTGGAAAGATGATTGAATTTGACCAGGTTACAGATTTACATAACTGATAAATGGAAGCAGAGGGATTCCAAACCAGGTCTGTCTGACTGCACCCTTTGGAACTTTGACTACACTACGTGTCCATAATGGCCACTGGGGCCCCTCTCAACATCTTGGCTTAGTCCACTGTGTAAGACCAATGGGTTCCCAAACAGGCAGTGTTCAATAAATAAAGCTATGTTCTATTTTCTAGAGCCATCTAAATACTCATGTGTCCAGAGACACAAACTTATTTTGGCAGTCTCTGGTGCTTTGGGTCAACATAAGAAGGGGAGGTGGGATGGTGCCAGCACCTAGGAGATAGACATTGTTCACATTACAATAATGATAAAAATAGCTGATATTTATAGAGAATCAATTATGCACTGGGCACTGTGCTAAGCACTTTATGTGGAGCCTCAGAACTCATTTAATTCTCAAAACAAGTTTATGAGATTTATGAGATAGATGCTGTCTTCACATCCATTTTACAGTGCGTGAAATTGAAGTACAGATTGCTTATGTAACTTACTTAAGATCTCACAGCTACAAAGTGGCAACACTAGGGCTTGAACCCAAGCCCTAGAGCTCCCTTATATTTTAGTATTAGCAAGAAATAGTAGTCTCCAGATTCTTATGCTTTGGGTTGTACTATAACTATTTGTCATTCTCCTCTTCTCTGTCCTCCAGTAAAGTTGCTAACAAGAGGGTCTGTAGTCAGGACTGGGGCTAAGGCTAGTGGCAGGGGGCAGTAAGAGAATAAAGCAGAATGTAAGTGGTGACCTTGTCTCTGGATTAGAGAGTGGCATTTAGCCTGCTAGCTCCTCTCCCCAACATGGGAGTAAGTGAGGCCCCAAGGATGGGAGAGCTTGGGTCACTATAATAAACCACAGAATGAAGAGAGGTCCTTCTCTGATGCTACCCTGACACCACATTCAGCCACCATTTCAGATGGTTGCCCTTCCCCAAACCAGAACACTTCATCTGTGAGCATGGGTTTTGTGTCATTATAAACGACACTTCTTTTCCTTTCCAGATTGTTGTGCTATGCAACTGCTTTTCCTGACCTTTATTCTTTTCTCCTTCAAAAGTAGTGACATGATAAAGCATATTCTTCAGAGTCTGTGTGCACTTTTACTTATTTATTTTTTTGTCCTGATTTGGGTTCCTTCCACAAATATCTTGAAAATATAGTCTTACATATGTGACTGTTTTAAAATACTTTTAAATAAAGTTGTAAAAAATGATAAAGAGTTCTGTCTGTGTATGTATGTGTGTGGTTGAAAAGCTCTCGGCCATAAATTAATAGAACATAAAATACAGTTTTGAAATCATTTTACATTGGTGAAAAATTATGTGGTCATAATGACAGAATTGACTTGTTATTTTTTTATACCATAGATCAAAGCTGTAATAGTGATATTGGGGCTGAATTGAGACTTGCGAGTTTGCATGGTAATAGCCAAATAACTCAAAAGAAACACAAATGATTCACATCCTTCTGTGGACTAACATTCCCTTGAAAAGCTGTTTTAACTTAACACTGAAAAACAATGACAATTAAAATGTGCTCTTAATTATTGGGCTAGAAACATAAATATAATTGTCCTTACTTGCTTTCTTCTTTAAGAGCTACAGATATCTTAAAAGATATAACTTATTATACCACATTTTACGGCCTTTAATCTAAACTGCAATACTTTTATTCTGAGTTTCCCATGGCTACATGGGATATTATTTAATTTAACATCACACAGCAAAATATGAACTTCAAATGACAGATAATCTTGCAAGATTTTATTTGCTTTCATTAATTTAAAAGGAAACTCTTTGTGATATAAAAGTGGTTCTTAAATTCCTGCCAATTAAAAAAGCACACTAGAAAACTCATCTCAAATATAATCGAAATGTAACTCTCAACAGCTGAAAGCTGCCATTTGGAGAACTTTGATGAGGCTGTAGAGGTGGAATCAATTCACCTTTTGACAGCAATAGAAATGTGGCTCAGAAGTTTTCAAGTTGTAAGGTATGTTCTGGTTTTATTTTAAAATGGAAAACTGTCAACTTATTTTACAAATGGACTTATATTCAATTTTAAGTTATCCTTTGTCTAATGTTGATGCAAATGTTACTTTTTCTTTTCCAACATTTATGATGGATTATTAGATCAACAAGGGCTGGCCTAGTAATTGAACAAAACCTAAACCACTACTTGAAACAAGCATATTTGGGATTTTTAATAGACCTTTGGAGTTTAATGAACAGTTGTTCAGTCTTGCTGCAGTCTTCATGAAACAAGAAGTTTGGATTTGTTGTTTATAAAACAATTGCAGGCTGAGAATACTGTTGCAGTTTTCAGCAAAGCTTAATACCATTCTAGTATGTAGCAACATTATCACAGGGAAGTCCCTAAAGAGGCTCTAAAACTATTTAGTAAGCTGTTCAGAGACAAAATTTTCCCATATCATTTTCTTCATATTCTTAGCTCCATATTTAATACAGCACTAGATACTTAACACCTATTGACTTAATAATTTATTAAAGACTAGTGGTTGATAGAAACGCCACCAACAGAAAATGAAATCATTCATTCATCCATCCAACAAATAATAATTGTGTTAAACCTTGGCTGAGAGCTGGAGATGCAGCAATAAGCAAACTAGATAGGGTCTTTGCTCTCATGGAGCTTATAGGCAAAGAAACCAAATTTCCTCTGTTTATGGGAAACATTTTCTATTGGGCCTAATAGCAGTAATTTTGAAATAAAATCTCCAGTTATTAGATAAACTCTTGTTGCTGATTTCAAGCTTAGTTATATTTTTGTAATGTCAAATACTGACTAGTAATAGCCATACACTGCTATTTTTTTTGCTTACTCTACTGGAGTTCTTCGAAAATTAACAGATGATTATAAAACACTATGCATGTGCTTACCAGTATATCATGTCTGGGATTAGCTCTCCTTCACTACTATCTTTTTAGCCTTACCTGTTTAACAAACTAGACAAGCTTACCTGTTTAACAAGCAAAATCCAAACCATAGGTCTTGGTTTCTACTTATGCTCAGGGGGAAATGTTATGAAATATTCTTAAATTCTTCCCTTCTGGCCTCTGCCAGGACTTTTTATTGGTTACATAAGCTCTGTGTGATAAGGACTCCTGCCCTGATCAATGTGAGCAGCCTGGCAGTGATTAGCATAATCATTAGCACACTGATAAAATTACAAAATTGCATTTGTATACATTATGTGCTTTGCATTGTGCTAAGCATTTTACATGCATTATTAAATTTAACTTTTAAGATAACTCTATGAAGTGGCTATTGTCACTCACATTTTACAGAAGAGAAAACTGAGCACGGAGAGGTAACTTGACCAAGATCGCAAAGCTAGAAAAAGTTAGAGAAATACGTGAACTTCAGAGATGATGCTCATTATCACGTAATCACCTCTTGCTTGTTGAGGGAACAAGACTTAGGGAATGTTCCTCTCACCTGTTGATTCTGTTAATTCCAGCATTCTAAACAAAGTCATTTTTAGGTTTTTTTTTTTCCTCTGTCCTCTTTCACTATAGCTCCAAGAGATCAAGTGAGGTTAAAATTCAACTCACTAAGTTCTGAAATCAGCAATTTTTAAACCGGAAACTAATACAGCCATAAAATAAATTTAAAGAGTAAAAGCCTCTCAAAATAACTATAGGGATAACAATATAAACTTATAAAACAGGGCTAACTAACATAACTGTCTGAAACATCCAAGAGATACAAATAATGATAAAGGAACTTCCAACATTTTTATTTCCTTCTCTGTCACTGTCCAAGTTTTTAAGTGACTTCTGACATGTGTGTGTGTGTCTGTGTGTGTGTGTGTGTCTGTGTGTGCGTGTGTGTGTAGTTCTGTGCACAAAACACGAGCATTTAGGTCCTCATGCTGTGAAAGTGGAAAAGTTAGCTAGGATTTTCTTCATAAGAATTTTACAATAGGATGAGAATGTAACAAACCTTGAATAGAACGTCTCTTCTTGATTTCAATAAGCTGTATTTGTGAGAAGCATAATAATGTCTTCATCTGCTGGAAAGATATGTTCAAATGTAATGGCATAATGACTCTTGAATTTGACTATGAAGATAGAAAAATCTATTATAGTGGTGTCATGCCCTGATAGTATGGCTCTGTCTCTAGACACATTCATTACCTGCATCTGTGACCAAACTATTGGACAAAAAGAGATTTTTTAGAAGTTTTAACTTGATGCACGGGATAGTGAGTGTTCTTTTACAGATTTTTTTTTTTTTTTTTTTTTTTTTTTTGTGTGGGGAGGGGAAGGCAGTCAATGATTTCCAGCTAAAGCAACTTCAGGTTCTTAGAGATGGGTACTTTACAACTGTGTTGTCCTAGATGGGTCCTTTGAGAAGGAGCAAAGCAAGGAGTATGCTGGTCTGCTCTAAAGATACGTCTGCAAATAGACATAACCTATTAACTCATGTTGGAGGTGCCAAACACTATGATTTTAGTGGCTCTTGGCATGGAAATTTAAGAAGCTCTGTGGCCAAAGAGCTTTACAAATGCCACTATGGGTGCTGATCAATACTAGTGCTTTTAAAATGACATGTTGTGCTTTTTCTCCTACAGAGAAGAGTTGCATCTGATTCAGTGTCATCTGGGGGTAGGGCGAAGGAGGCAGCTTTTTGCCTAGAAGAACTTTTCAGATAAACATAGAGAGAATTTCTGAACATAAGCCCCAGAGGGCTCCTGTGCCCCCACACTGAAGTTCTTGTTCTGATGATGCCATTTACCCTTTTGTGGTGAAGCTTGAGCTTTAAGAGCAAAACATAACTGTACCTTCTTGTCTTGCTTTAGACCAAACTTCAGGACATATTAATATCAGAGACTGTTTAAACAGAGCAATAAAACAACACACTACTTTAACTAAACCCAGCTTGCAGGCTAATTTTAAGGCAGCCGGGTTGGAGGAAGCCCATGCATTAATTTACTCTAATAGCAATGGGGGGAAGGAGGGGAAAGAGGTTGAAAGGCATTGTTAGAAAAAAAAAAAAAGAAAACCAAGAACTCGTGCTCAATTTCTTTCTGTCTTTTTTTTAGGTGTTTAACACTTGTACAATTTGGTCAAATTATGGGCAGGACAGCAAGAGAAGCTAGTCAGTTTTAAAAGACAGAGAGCGTGTGAGACAGGACATGATTACTTTGCTGAATCTCCACTTTTTTTTTTCTTCCAAAAGAGACAAAGGGAAGTACTTAAGAACCAATAGTGATGGCAAGGAAGCAATCATTGAGTTGCAGGATACCTTTGTCTCTAGGGGCACGCAGTAATTTTTCCATGTCTGCCACTGAGTGTCAAACCTTTTCTTTTCTTTTTCTTTCTATTCTGGATGGCCAAACTGATTATCTAAAATAGAAAATTAGCACACAATGGGTTTACTCTGCGATACCCCTCATGCAACTAATGGCAAAGCTTGTTAATTGGTTGTAAATGCCAGCAGGTTGCCAGGATAATACTTCAGAAATAAGCGGGTATTCTGATAATTACAGCAATCTTCATCTATAAAAGCTTAAGTAGATGAAGTAGTGGCTGGCTTAAAACCAAGATTTATCCCGCTGCACTCACATTAAAAGAAAAAATAAGATGAAAACAATAATGTAACAAAACAATTATGTAGCAGGAAGCTTTGTAGGTTTTAGAGATTGTGAAAACTCAGAAAGTAAAACAGTGCTGTAATAACCAGTTATGGAAAAATAGGCCATTTACATTTGTGTATAATTAAATAGTAGGCTATGCAATTTCACTTTTTAAAGTAAACTGCCTTTTCCTTTTTTATAGGGCAGCGTAGCCATAATTGCTGCATTAAAGCTTTAATGAAAGAAAAAAGCAGCAGATCAAGATGACATGTAACGTCTACATTTGTATCGTGGCGCTTTGCTTGTTTAGTAATGGGAAGCTACTGAGATTAAAATTGCAGAATTCTTCATAGTTTGTTCTAAAATTGCTATAGGAAGATCATTCAGGGTCTAAAATACACACAATTTATTTTTCCACCTTCAATCTGCAAGAATTTAATGGCTTTCATAACTAGTAGTAGGTGGTTGGAGATATGTTTTATATTAGAGAGAGAACTACTTCAGATCATAAAAATTATCAAAAGTGAATAGATCATCAGAATTTAAACCTTAAGGGACTTCCTTGGTACATTAGAATATTGTGCCACATATTATATTATAGTTAGTGTTTAACTTGGTGCAGTATAAGGAGTTTTCTTATTCAAAATATCAACAGGTTGGTTTATAACATATATCCTTTATATTTTGCAGTTTCTTTATCACTTCATTAACATTAGGAACTGGTGCAAAAGCCAGTCAATTCACATAGAAGAAGGTAATGTTCCGGTAAGCTGTTAATTGGCATGTGAGCTGATTTACTTTATTATACATATTTTTAAAGCAATAGTCTCTCCTGTGAGCATCTTTCTCATAAGTTAGATATATTCTTCAGGTGTTATGCTCCGTATAGGTTGACTATGTTTTCTGTAAACCATCCCTGGCAAATAATGTAAGCAGAGATTGGAAACCTTCATTATGTGTTACAGTACTGAGCACAGGGTATGAAAACATGCTAAAAACACACCAGGCAAAAGAGACAGCAGAATACCAAGGATATTAGTGCCAGTGGCGGGAGAGAGAGGCTTTTTTTTTTTTTTTTTTTTTTTTTTACATTTATATAAAACCTACATGATCTTATTCTTCCTTTTGTAAAGAGAAGAATGCAAAAACGACTACTTGTAAAACAGAACCTAAGAATGGACACTATAATATAAAGGCCTAGAATTCTGGCTTTTTGGGTTTTCACTTTAAGAAAGTGACTCAATTGCTCCAGGGTTTTGTTTTGGTGTTGGTTTCTCACAGGGCTGATGAAAGGCATCTTTATCTATGTGCAGTTCTTCTGGTATAAAAACTTTAAATACATAGCCTCCTGGAGTGACTGGCTTCCTCACAGTAATCAGAATATGGCACTGGCATCCTGGCTGGAAGCGCGGGTAAGCAGAGCTCGGAAGGGCCGTGGCACCCAGGAAACAGAGCAAGTGCCAGGCAGAGCAGCCTGGGTTGGGATGGGAATGTCACCATCTCACAAAGAGCATCTGCAGCCACTTTTTGTGAGAATACTACCTGAAAAGGAGGCAAGGGGAGGGGAAAGGAAAAAGAAGGGTTTTTAGAATACACGTGGAAGAAGGGATACCCTTCTACCCCAAAGTCCATCGGGTAAAAGAAGTGAGCCCGTTACCTGTGCTTGGCTGCCTCCTTCATCCTGTGCAGACTTGATGTGAGAGGACTGGCCCCATACCCTCCCCAACCAGTAATTCATGTCTCTTCACGGCTGGCAGTTGTTGCAGCACTTAAGATGGGCACATAAGGCATTTTGTTTTAGGCGAACTGAATTAAGATGTTTTCTTTAATCTACATCTTTACATGTGATTTGAACAAGCAGAGAAAATAGCAGAGAGAGCATTTCTTTCCAACTAGCTTGAAACTGGCAGTTTTTTTTTTGGGAACTGGGTAGGTGGGGGGCAGGAGGTAAGCTTGCAAAGGAAGAAAAACTAAACAAATAAAGCAAACTATTCAGAATTAGAAATAGTAGGGGCTGGGGAGGAGCAGGAGAGGGGAGTGGGAAGCATAATAATCCAGGACTGTCTTTTGTTTGACTACCTGAGACCTTGGACACAACTACCTGTATATGTTGAAATTTTATTGACAGGCCTGGTGAGGCAGGCATCGTAAAATACATCATCTCTACATTCATGGAGGGAAAACTTTTTGAAAAGATAAAAAAAATCTTAAATCAAACAAAAGCAAGGGCACATAAGATAATTTTCTTGCCAATGTAAGAACTTGTGGAAATTATGCATCTAATATATTTTTACATTTTTTGAAGGAAAGAAAACCATTTCTCTTAAGTCTGTTTTGTGGCTGGCCTAAATTCTGTATTATACTTAATGGTGCGGCATAGTTTTCCCCAGGGTAGTGAAAGGCCCATGTGACTTTCCTGAAAGACAAATAAAAATAAACTAGGTAGAGAATACGGTGCTTTACAGTTTTGTCTTTCATATACATGGTGAACATTATCTTTTTCTTGGATGCTTTAATACTATCTTGGTTTAAGTTACCCATTCTTGAAGGGCCATTCAAAATCTCTGACATTTTTGACATCTTTGAGAATTGTTCAATATATGAGCCATGTGCATAACTCGATCAACTTCTATTTGAACTTCTTTATGCTACCAGCATATATTTTTTTCTGTCACTTATGCTTTGGCGAAGTACACATTGCACAGAATAGGTATTTGAGAAATATTTCTGAATGAATTATTTTTAACTCAAGAGTGGAATGTTTGTGCTGCTTTTCAGGGTTTTAATGATGAACATATTAAATTGATAAGCATTTTTAAGACATATTTCCAAGTCAGTTTGAGAGGCTAGTACTTAAAAGGCAAAGTTCTTTGGCTAGAATTTTCTCCTAGGAGAGAAGCATACTCTACATGCATACAGAAAGTATAGTATGCCATCCTGATAGCATTTCTTGTGAATCGTGTGTTCATCCTAACAGTGAACATTTTCTCTGTTTCTGTGTCAGTTGTCACTAATCAGTTATACATCTGATGTGCAGATCCATCAGGAAATAGAATTTAAGTCATTTTGGCTTTAGCACATATGATATGCTTGTACAGGAGTTTACCAAAGCCCCTTTTGATACATTTTCAGAAGGGGGACGTGCATATGTTATGGTACCTCTACAGCAGCACTGACTGAACTAGCTGACAAGTGACAGGAGGGTTTTTTCCCTCTTTGGTATTTCATGAAAGTGTGCACAAATCATAACAAGTTGCCTCTCTTTCAATAAGACAGGGAACATTTCCCTTAAAGCACACATGGCTATATGGTGTGTTTGTGTACATGAAAATTCATGCTGCTATCAATTTTAATTTTGCCATTTTTGTTGTTTTTAAATTTCAGGTTTGAAGTTTTTGAAGAGGCTTAAATAATCACTTTCAATTTTGTCTTGACTGATTTTTGAAGAACTCTACCAAAGCCTTAATGGAAAACTAAAGTTCTTCACCACTGAGAAGACAAGCTTGTTAAATAGTAGACACCAACCGTATGTCAGAGAGTCCCATGTTAGATGATACAAAGCAGGCCATGTCTCACAATAATCTGTCTGAATTTTGACCCGTGCTTTAAAGCAGTATTAACAGCAGCAACAATAAAAATAAAAACCCTTGCCTTGCTGTTTCTTCCTAGGTGCAGGGTACTAAGCTCTGTGTTATAGGAAATTTTGTGAGAACTATCACAGTAGCCTCTCCAGTTTAATGCAAGTAAAGCAGACTGGTGGAATGCAGAGGACGTGGGTTTTGAAGTCAGTAAGATCTGGGTTCAAATCCAGCCTTTAACACTTACGAGCTGTATTTTTGCCCTGGGTCTCAGGATCCTCTAAAATAAGGATCCTGTTGTGAGGGACCAATGCTTAAATCACCTACTATATTATTTGGCACACAAGAGATGCTTAAAAAACTTTATTCTTTTGAGCTCACTGCTCCTTCCTGACCTCAGAATAGCAAGGGACTCCATATAATTCTTTCTAAATAAGTGCCAATCTGTTTTTTCAGGTAAAGTAAGATCTTTAGCAGATAGGTTTCTGGATTCATAGAAGCTGACATCTGAGATAAGCGCCAGTAAAATGATCTGCTCCAAATAACTAATTAACTACCATATTTGTTATGCAGTCATGCACTACATAATGATGGATCGGTCAATGATGGATTGTATTTAAGAAGGTGGTCACGTAAGATTATAATAGAGCTGAAAAACCCTCACTGCTTGGTGATGTCATATCTGTCATAACATTATAGTGCTATGTGTTACCTTTTCTGTCTTTAGATATGTTTAGATACACAAACACTTGCCATTGTATTACAATTGCCTGCAGTGTTCAGTATAGGAGTGTGCTATACAGGTTTGTAGCCCAGAAGCAATAGGCTAGACCACATAGTCTAGGTGTGTAGCAGGCTGTATTGTCTAGGTTTGTGTAAGTACACTCTATGATCTTTGCACAATGACAAAATCGCCTAATGACACATTTCTCAGAACCTATCCTCATCATTATGCCATGCATAATTATTGTGTATATATATTCATATATACAGACACACTATATATATATATATATATATATATATATATATATATATATATATACACACACACACATATATATATAAATATATATTCCTTTTTTTTGGTCAGCAAATATATATGTATATATGTATACATATATGTATGTATGTGAGTGTATCTATACACACACATATATACATATATGTACCTATATACACATATATACATATATACACACACACAGATATATATATATATATATTTTTTTTGAGATAGAATTTCGCTCTTTCACCCAAACTGGAGTTCAGTGGCATGATCTCTGCTCACTGCAACCTCCGCCTTCCAGTTTCAAGCGATTCTCCTGCCTCAGCCTCCCGAGTAGCTAGGATTACAGGAACACGCCACCATGCCTGGCTATTTTTTGTATTTTTAGTGGAGATGGGGTTTCACCACGTTAGCCAGGCTGGTCTCGAACTCCTGACCTAGTGATCCACCCACCTCGGCCTCCCAAAGTGCTGGGATTACAGGCATGAGCCACCATGCCCGGCCCCACAAATGTATTCTTTTAGAGTTACTCAACATTTCTATAATTATCTGAGACAGTTAGATGTACACAAACACCAAATGATACCTTTCAACTACCTGTGGATTTTTCCTTGAATGAAGGGACAATCTTTTAAAATCATGGAATTCAGGGTACCAAAGGAGGAAAACAAAGAAAGAATTAACATGAGTTCATTCTCATGTAATGAATCCGTTACTAATCTCACGGTTGTGACTTTGAACAGAGTGCAGAAATGGCTCTTGTGTCTGTGACATGGTCCTGCAGACACCACTGCATGACAAGAGGGACATTAGAAGTTGAGCTATTATTACTGAAGAAAAGACTGTTTGTATCTGCATCAGGACCACATAGCATGTGATGATGATTTCCTGTCCCGACTAAAACCAGAGCAGTGTTACTGGGCCTACCAAACACACTTGTGTAGACTTTACAGGAATGTCCCTACTGTGAAATAATTTGCAGTGTCTGTTCCCCCATTAGTATTTTTTCTCTCTCTCCCTTCATACCTTCTCTGCTGCTCACCTCTGAGCATGATTAGTGTGAATCTGAGTTTTTGAGATCCTGTGGAAGAGTGTTCTTCTTTTTTCTTTAGATATGAAGTGGCTTCTTTTTCTGTTTATGTCTTCATGTGAACATTCTGGATGGTAAGAATGACAGATTATTGGCTCAGTCACAATTTGCCTTACACATAACCTCACTGCCAATTTTATTAAAAAAAAGATGTCTTCCTTCATGGAAGAAATAAGCATAACTTTGTTGTGGTTTAAAAAAAAACACCCCAAAAAACTGTTTCGTTAACCAAAGTCTTTCATAAAAGCAGATACACCTGACTTCTATTTGAGGCCCAGATACTGGAGACAGGAGCCTTATTTAACCAACTTCTTACTCTACCCTCTCATGCTGTAACCATCATTTCAGATTATTTCAGGTTGATCTCTAATTTAATGAGAGGTTAGAGCTCTTTTGAGGCTAATAGTAGAGAGAGCTCTTTTGAGGCAAAGTAATATTAATAACCATCATCATCTTACTTGGTGCTTTTTTCTTTCATCTTCGAGGCTGAGTTATGTTGGAGGATGTTACTCGAGGAGATAATTCTGCACACTTAATTTGTTCATACATTATTTCAACCTCAACAGGTTTAATTAACACAAACTTGTTCCACCTTTTTTCCCCCAATTATTCTGAATGAAGATAATTAGTAATTTGCTAAGACCTCAGAGAACACAGTAGAAAAATAAAAAAACTTTAGGTGATTTGATCTCATTCTTGTGCCTGTTTAATGTAAATCTATTGAGAATATTTTTTTAAATCACAAAGTACAGTTGAATAAAGAAGAAATGTCAGTTAAATTTCTGTATTATTTTTAAAGTTTTAGAGAGAAAACCAGATAACTAGCTTATCCATGATTAATAGGGGATAGGCAGAATAATAATTAGTTATTCTGTGGTATATGTTTCTTCTTCAGATGTTAATTTGATTTAGATAGAGAGATGATGTTAACATTCTTTAATAGATTTTAGATTCCCTAGGGTAAATTTTACTTTATTGTGTACTTAATAAGACTTTTTCAGTGGTGACAGTGTGTTATCCAAAAGACTGCAGTATTTTAAGTGTAAGTGACTGCTTCACAGTATGATTTAGGATTTTATTCTAGTTCTCTTACATCCATGCAGAAGCTTGAACTAAAAATTTCATTTTCAAATATTTGAAGACTTTTTTCTCTTTTCTAAAGAGACAACCATCTTGAAGATAATAAGAAAAGGTATTAAAAAGTATTATTCTGGTTTATATTGCATTAAAGAAAGCACATTTGATATTACAGACTTTATAGAGTTTGTGTTTTTGTGTAGTTTTAGGCCCTGCTTTGTTAGGACACTTTAGGAATAGTGTAAGAGGGTATTTAGGATGAAAGAGGCATTTAGCTTTAGAAGGCAGTCATTGTACCTACCTTGTAAATTACCACACTTTTCATCTTGGGTATGCATTGAGAAGTTAATACGCTTCTGTCACTCATACAAATAATGTTAAAACCATTGTATCTCTGGAGATTTTTATGGCTTACTTATAAAATGCAATGGATTATTTCGGAGGACACACCGTGCAGTACGGGCTGACATGCATTAGAAGGATACAGAGAAGATCTATGAAAACAGTATTCTGCTCAAGGATATGAAGAGTGTCAGATATACAGTACTTAACTCTGCAGGGTGGTGTGTCTCTTTAAGACACTAAAGCCTTTAAGAGGTTGGAGAGTTATGATGTCATTAATTAATAACTGACTGCATGCTAATCAATACAATAGGTACACACTGTAATGGCTTATAAGCATGGTAGCTTTTTAATGGCTCATGTATAAATGTTAATTGATTTAAAACAAAGGGAAATTTCTGTCTATTGGATCAATAGTTTATGGATTATGACTACCTTTTTAGTTTGAGATTGCTAAAGAATGCTCCTTCCTTACTCCTTCCATTCTCTGGATTGTCTTTCTATGTTTTTTTAATCAGGAATGCCTGCAAAGAAGATACATTAGACCAATTATTGGTACTGGAATCCAATAACACTTGCAAAGCCCCAAAGGCTTCTACAAGATGCCACACTAGGGCGTCATGGTAGATTTGTACAATATGGAATATATAGGAGTCTGTGGAAAGTTCAGTGTTTACTCTTTTCATACTATTGCATTTTTATGCAAAAGATGTGTTATATACATATGAACCCCTTGATTTATTATCAACAATTTTCTGTTTGGATTTCTTATGCTTAATGCATGTAAAGAGATAAATAATGAATGTGTTATCTGCCAACATAAATGACCTAAAAGATAAGTCCATGTTATTTAGTCTAACATCTAAATTAAGAATCAAATACATTTAGAACAAATTTAATACCAAAAAAAAAAAAAAAAGAACTGGCAGATAAAATTTTACCTAGGAAACTCCTATTGGCAAACACAGGAGTTGCTTATAACAGATATTATGAAGACTTAGGAGCTGATTATTGTAATATAGTTTTGTGCTTAATAGAAAAGGGGTATGCAGTTAATTCTTTATCATTCCATATGGCAGTGCTCACTTCATCTCCTCCTTCAACTGCCATGCTAGCATTTTTTTTTTCTGTTTTATTGCTCCATTCTTGAAGGTCTGCTTTGGAATGGGGCCAGTTATCTTTTTTCATTTAGGCAAATTTTACATGAAAATACTAATTTTATATTTGAAGAAACTGGTGGCTTTGGAATAGTATCCTTGTCAGCTTTTATATGAATGTGTATGAAGTTTAAAAAGCCAAATGATATTATAAGAGGTCTTGTGAAAAACAGCAGTCCCTTGCCTAGCAGACCTTGTACTCTTCCACAATTCGCCCTCCTCAGGGAAATGCTTCCAATGCTTCCGATTGACTTTTTGTTTTCCTGATGTTTACCTCTGCATTTGAAATAACTTGCTGATACTACAGACTGCTCATTTTTCAGTTTTATATATTGTCTACTGATTTCGTTATATAGAAGATAGGAATTTGACACCTTTATACCTTCACCTTTTCAATAACCTTCTTAGAAAGTTTCTTTAACTGCAACTTCTTAGAGAGTTAAGTGTTTATATTTATCTCCTTATTGTTAATCCTTACCCAGATTTTGTATAAATCTCCTCTTGGTATGTTCAAGCACTTCAGATAATCTGCCCAAGAATAGTAGGAAAAGTGAAACAAGAAGTCTCTTTTTCTGTGTGTGTGTGTGTGTGTGTGTGTGTGTGTGTGTGTCTGGTTGGAGTGGGGGCAGGGGTATAATTTTAAGAGACACACAGAAAAGAACTAGTGAAGGAGACTGAGAAGGAACAGTCAAAGATATTGCAGGAAGACCAGTAGTACATGGAAGTCAAAGGAGAGAGCATCAAGAAAGAGATGGTGAGTAAGTATCAAAAGCCATAGAGAAATGAACAAAGATGGTGACTGAAAACATCCATTAGCCAAGGCTGCCAGGGAATTGGGATCAGAAGCCTCAATGTCATAAGAGACAATAGAAAATTTTAAGTTATTCATTTGGGAAACTTGGCTCTTAGGTAAATGAGACACAAGGCAGTTTAAAAATAGCTAGATGTCAATGAAAGACTGCATTCAAAATAACTTTTTGAGATGAAACAGACTTTAGAATACTTGTAGATGAAGGTATAAATTAGAAAATCTGAAGGTGACCAGCAGCCTCTTCCAACCATGCTTCTTTGAATAATTATATGTTTAATGACATTTTCTCTATATTGTACCATATAATGTTTAAGTTATATTGTACCATGTAATGTTTAAGTGAATGTTTAAGTGGCTGTAAAAGAGTTATCTTACCTTGTCTTTTCTCTCTCTCTCTTTCACACACACACACACACACACACACACTGAAAGCTAGCAATTTAGAGGTTTCAAGGGGGATATGTCCGTTTTACAGGTCAAAGCCAAGACACAAACATGGCCTCTACTCCTAGTTCAGAGCTCTCACTACCATCCTGCAGCTGGCCTCTGAATCACTTTTTATCTATCTTCTTTTGCCTCTTGGTTGATCTTTGCTGTTAAGAATTTCCTTTATTCCTACTGTTTTGGCAAGGCTTATCTGTCCGTCTGCCTGCTGCTTTTATTTCCTTCGAATCCACAGCTATATCATGTGTTGACTAACTTCATCACACCATAAAGCTGCTGTTACTATTAAATCATACACAGATCCAGACATTTTGCAATGGAAAGAGATTCCCTCCAGTTTCGTAACCTATTTTGAGGACTTATTTTTGTTTGACTGTCACTAGAAACACCATTATCTTAAACAGCATGTGGACTCAGAGCCCTACATCAGGTTAGATGACAAAACCATTTTATGTAATTGGTGTTTAACATGGATACTGATGGTCTTTTGGTGCTAAGCTCAACCTGAAAATCTCACTAGGAATATATTTGCTTCTCATTTCACTTTTTAGAAATGACTTTGGTCAACCAGAGCACGAAAGGTTAGTTTATAAACTAAGTAGTGGAAATCAGTGATGGTTTTCAGTCATATGATTATTAATGAAAATACTTGGTGATGTGTAGGTTTCCGGGGTGCAGGGTGATACATTCTTTAATCACTCACTCATTCATTCAGTCAGCCCACGAAAATTTCCTGAGAGTTTACTATGTGCCAAGAACTACGCCAAATGTATTTCTGCCTTCAAGGAGGTCTTAGTCTTAGAAAGGAAGCAGGAAGTTGGATTTTAGAAAAGCTTGGGAATTCACAAAAGGGCTTTGAGCAAGAGAGCCACATAATTCAATCAGTCTTTTAGAAACCCCAATCAGGAGGATGGATTGGAAGGAAATAAGGATGGGGTCATAAGACCGGAAAGCCAGGTGAGAAATTCCTTGAGCTGGAGCTAACATTATGATGATGGGTGAATAGGAGGAAAGATGAGACAGACATTAAGATAGAATCACCTGAGCTTGATGACAAATTTGGAGGAGAGAGAGAAGCCTTGTGAATTATGATGGCTTCTCAGTAATACCTCTTGTGAATTCCTAGAATGAATGTGCTGGGATGTACTCTATGGTAATCTGAACAGCTGTTTTGTATACATAGAAGTATACACACACACACACACACACACACACACACACATATATATTTTTTTTTTGAGATGGAGTTTTGTTCTTGTTGCCCAGGCCTCAGTGCAGTGGTGCGATCTTGGCTCACTGCAACCTCCACCTCCCGGGTTCAAGAGATTCTCTTGCCTCAGCCTCCTGAGTAGCTGGGATTACAGGCGCATGCCACCACACCCAGCTAATTTTTTGTATTTTTAGTAGAGGTGGGGTTTCATCATGTTGGCCAGGGTGGTCTCGAACTCCTGACTTCAGGTGATCCACCCTCCTTGGCCTCCCAAAATGCAGGGATTACAGGTATGAGCCACCACGCCCGGCCTATCTAATGATATCTTTAGCATTGCTGGGTACCTAGATTAAAAAAATCCTAAGCCTCCATCTGTATTTATGGCTGATGATTAACCTTATGCAAATGCTGATGTAATTCTGAAGTGAACTTTCTTGCTGTTCTGTGAAGAAGCAATGCTTTGAATGATCAGGGATGCTCTGCCCCATGTTTTGGAAATGTATGTAAAGATATATTGATATATATATTGGGCACTTTCTTTCTTTATCCAGGTATAATATTTGATCCTACAAATTTGAAGTTTTTCGTAAGTTGTGACAATGTGAATATTTCAAACTCATAAAAAAGTAAAAAAATAAAAACAAAAAAAAAACACCTCACTTTCTAAACTCTAGGAAATTGACCTTGGCATCCTGAAAACTGAACCAGACAATTACATTTGGTTTCTGTGTCTTTGAGAATAGAATGACTTTTTAATTTCTTAAAGATAAAAGTATTTATACTTTTTGTTTGCAAACTTAATAAATGCTCATTAAAAGCAACAGAGAATTAAATTAGAAATATATAAAATGGAAAATGAAAAGTGCCTTACAATCTACCATAATCTCATTGCTAGAAACAGTAATTAAAGTTTAGGGTGTATCTTCCAGATATACAAACAACATATTTTTAATGGTACCAAATTATACATAGTTTTTCATAATCTGCCTTCCTTAATAGTGTGTCATGGTGTGTCATGGATATCCTTCTAATCAAATATATAGAGAGCTATTCTTCAATTGTGTTTTTGTTTTATGTCTGTATAATTTATTTTGCCAGTCCCTTATTATTTTTCCCCTAAATTTTCAGCTGACAAATAATGTTGCTATTAATATCCTTTTACATATGTCTTTGTATATTTTTCCATTTTTTCCCTTTGATACATTTCTGAAACAGAATCATTTAGTTAACGTTGCACATATTTTAAATTTTAATAGATATTTTCAAATTAACACCTAGAAGTTGTGCTATCAGCTAAATTTCAGAGTAAATCTTTTCACATACTGTTACCTACCTTGGTATAATAAACTTTTTATTTTTTTTTCTCTGTCAGAGAGGAAAATAAATTCTTGTGACTATGTTAATCTGAAATTCTTGTATTTTTTAATATAATGCTGTGTATCTTATGTTTATTATCCTTTTAAATTTTCTCTTTTATAAATTACTTGTTAAAGTTCTTTGCTAATTTTTAAATTATGTTATTTATTATTTGTTTATTGATTATTAAAAGCTCTTTGCATAGTGAAGTCAAACTTTTTCTTATCATTTATGATTTGGAGATTTGCTAAGACCTCCTCTCCCAAGATTATAAGCAGAGTAATTTTTAATTAAAAATAAAAAACTAGGGATAAAACGTCAAGTGAAAAATAAAAAGTAATTAGGGATTTACTGACAAAAACATATGCAATTGGAACAGATTACAGAATGGTCTCTAGAGAAGGAGAAACTTGCTCAATTTCCGAACAAAATAGAAATCAGAACTGGAATATAAATTGGATGAGGCGAGTGACCTCTGTCTTGTTCACTGCTGTGTCCCCCCATAGCAGCACTCGGAACACAGAAGTTGCTCAATAATATTTTTGGAATTAATGAATGAATGCATACATCTAAGCTTATATATAAAAGAATACATGAAAATTTGAATTAATAAAGCTCTAAAAATCAGTATTACTTCTACAGTTACTGTAGAAGTAATAGGCAACACCACCATTACAAAGGCAACTTTACTTATCACTGTGGAACTGGTAATAGAAGGTTTCAAATCCCTTTTTTATTGAGGCATTGGTTGAAGATTCCCAATCTTCCTGTTTGTGAGGACATTAAATTTGTTCCTTTTATAAACTTAGTCTTAGAATAATATAACTCCAAGGAGATTTAGAGAACTGGAAAATAATCAACACTATCCTATGGAGTCGTGGAAAAACTGGGCTGGTCATTAGAATATTTATTATTTAGTGATTTATTCCCAAATGATGACAAAATTGTCTTCCTTTGGGCTTCTTGAACATGTTTCAATATTTGACAAAAATGTAAAGTGCACTGGAAAAAGTATAGAAGTTTATCTAAAGAATTAACTTATTTTTAGAAAAGGTAGGTGAAAGAATAACATTGCTTTTATTTTAACCCATTGTTTTGTTATCTTAAGATTATTATACATATTTATGCCTAAATTTTGAGTTCCAACTTATGAAAAAATAGAGTTAACATTCCTTTTTTTTGTTTTTATGTTTTTCTGTGTCTGACTTTTCTTGAATTATAGAAAATAGCTTTTTATAGGCTGTGTTCTCTAGCATGTTTTCCCTGAAAGAATAATCGATTTTTATTAATATAATAGCTAATTTTAATTCTATGTTACAGAAACCCCTTTTACTTTATATGGTATTTTATATAGTAATGTTTATTTTCTATACAAACTCGCTAGGATGTTTTATATGTTTTATATCCCATTGAATTCTCCCTGAAACTGCACTAGTTTACAATAATTTTATTACTTTATTAATTAAACGTTTTCCAACAAGCTAGCTATGGCATTTCTTATCATCAAGGGTTCCATTAGTTTTTAATGGTGTGAGACAAAATTACCATTTACCCACATGCAATTTAAGAAGCATCATTAACACGAGAAAAGCACCAGGTGGGATTTCTAATAGTTACTGTTTCTCATTTTTGTTTTTATTTAAAAGAATCACTGGTTTTGAGTTTTTTGTTGCTATATTGCCAAATCTTCACTTGGATTTTATGATCGAGATAATTTAAAATAATGTTCTTCTATTTCCTTAGGCAGTATTCAACAATATTTTACTTATGTGCACACAGCTTCAGTCTAGCACTTTTTTTCTACACAGTCGAGTGAGTGTTGTCTGCACAGACAACAGAACAAAGAGGGATCTTCATGAACTCCATCAGATAGTTTGGCCAAGGGCTTGGCAGTGCCAGTGGTTTGGCCATAAACTGTCTCTGTTTTCAGAGAAGTATGAACACCAGGACTGAAAAGATCCAGGGGTCCTGGAAACCAAAATAAACTCTAGGAATCTTGCAAAGTGGACACTCGTTAATTTTTTTCCCGCAGATCATATGAACTCTTTTCAAGGGTTCACATGTCATAGGTTAGATAATGCTTATCCTCTTGCAGACTGGAAAGTACTCATTCCTGTAAAATGAATATAAGAGAACCAAGCAGGAATATTCAGGCTGTGAAGTTTGTAATAACATAGATACTCTCAGAAGATTGGGAAAATACTGATATCTTGTAATTCAGTGTATTGTAAAACATATAGAACATAATACAAACCCCAATTGCCTATAAACCCTCACTAAAAGAGGCTTATTCATTTAAGTCTTCAGAAAAATTTGTATCAGCCATTAACAAAACAACAAAACAAAACAAAATCCAGATTTGCAAGAAGGGGTGTTATAAATCTATTTTGGGCAATTATTTCAGCTTTTGCTGTTATTGGACAGTTACTGTTCTGGCATATAAAGGAATTGGGATAGGGAAGGAAAATCAGTTTCACAAAGTTAGGGTTTGGGCAATACTTAAACTCTTGGACACAAAATAGAAAGATTTAGTAAAACTGACTAGTATTTCAAGATTTTTTCATGCAAGGGTAGGATATATTAAACAATAATTTACTCACTTGTCTCAGGAAAGGCAGATTAAAACATCTTTAATCATCTCCTAGAAAATGTTCTGTAAATTGTATTATACCTGAATAATCTGCTGCAAAAAGTGAAGGCAAACTGTTGACCTGATAATCTAGCCGTCATGTCTTTCCTTTCTTTCAAGTGGTTTGTAAGTGAATGGATGGATATTTTATATTTAGTACATTGCAGGGGAATGCTGTTTAATCTACTTTCAAATAGAGTGGTTTATTTTGAAAGATTTTTATGTGACAGTATTAAATATTAACTCAATTTAATAAATATTGATCATTTATTATAGGTTTGTTGTATAATAAGTATTATATATTGGTTAGTACACCACATTACATAAAAAAATATTTGTTTCATGACAAAGAGAATTGCTGTAATAAGGGAGTTTTAAGCAAAAAGTGAAGAGAAAAAATATGAATATAATAAAATCTTCTAAAAGTGGACATTTTGATACATAAGAAATAGTTTACTTTTTAAGAGTAAGATATTTTATATTAAGCCAAATCTGCACTTCCCTCTTATACCAATCTACATTTTTAGTTAATTTCTCTATAAATAAGTGTCTGTAAACAGAAAGTACTCAAGCTTATTTATAACAGTATTGTATTTGTGGCTTTTTTTTTCCTGCACAATGATCATATGGTAGATGGTTCTACTGTTAATACCACATATCAATTCTATATTTGTGTTGTCTACAAAAGGAAAAAAATCAAAGTAATCAATGAGCTTCTGGGTTGCATTTTCTCTGTAGTATTCCTCTATTTTGAATTCGACCTGCATCAGCTATTTAATTTTAAATGTGTCACTTTGTCCATCACTTTGAATGAGAAATGTTATTTGGATAAATTTCTTTCAGCATTGGTGTATAGGAAGAATTATTCTATTAATCCTTCTCTGGAACAATTATCACATAGTTTTGCTGGAGAAGTTGCATTTTATTTGGCTGGCACTTATGAACACTAGATTTCCAGGGATCCAGTAAAACATTTTTGGTGCTGCTGGATTCCTGGTGTTTGTTCTATCTCTATTCAGTATGCTTTTATTGTGCTCGAAGCTGACAGAAAATTGCTATAGCCAATCACCAAAAAGTGCTTATTTTTTTATGATGTTTTATTTTCATTGCTCAACATTAACATAATGAAACTTCAGATTTTTCTATTAAAACAATGCAGTACATGTAAAGTGTCATGATGAATGACAATTTCTTCTGATATACATTTTGGTGCCTGTAAAATAAAGATTGACATTAGAGCTTCCTGGATTATACACTCTCCAATTTTATTTAGAGGCTTTATGAAAAGCAAACACATACTACACATGCACACACATACACACAAACACACACACACACGTATGTTTAAATAGTATTCCTCACCAAAGGAAAAGTAATAAAAATTACTTTTTAGTGCATTGTTTTTTTCTATCATTCATTCAACATCTATTAAACTTCCATTGCCAGAAAAAAAATCTAGCCCTTACTATTTTGAATTGATATCTTCCACAGAATGGGATGCCTACAATATGTGATTTTATGTCTTTGTAGATTCTCAAAGGCAGTACACTTGGTATGGGATTTTTTGGAAGCAACAACCCATTAATAAAATGCTTTAATTTTATTTTGTATGGATAGCATAAGGTTGGTGTACTATAAACAATTTTTTGAGTTTACCTATGATGGGCTTTAAATGCTTTTGTTGTGAATCATTTTTAATAAGATGACACATAAATTAAGAAATAATAATGGTTATATGATTAGGCAGGAAGAGGTGTGTCATGAAAGTTTAAAATTAGAATCCAAACTTTGTGGAATGAAACTTTGAGACAAATAAGTGGTAGATGTCAAAGAAAAGAGGCAGAAGAGTTAGAGGGATGAGGACCTTCAACTTTTGCTGTTATGTTGCACATCCCTTGTTTTCTGTCTGCATAGTTTGGGAATGTGATTATACACTTTCCAGAGCAGGGCATATTCAAGAGGAGGAAAAATCAAAGTGGTTTAGATGGAAACGGCTTTGAAATGAGACACCTCTTGTTTCCAGTCTTGTCTCCAATATCTCTAAGTGACCTTTGGCAAGTCATTTCACCTCTCAGACTTGGTTAACTTTATTAATCTGCAAACAGAAAAACAGGGTTCGATTGTTGTAAGGTTCAAACGGGACAAAACAACAATAATTCTTGCCACAGGGATGGGCACACAGTGCTAGTCAATGAATGGCTACTATTTCATAAGGCATGTTTGTAGCTCCAACTCCCAGGAAATACATAGTGATCAATTAGGTGACTTGGTTTGTGACATTTATTTATTTATTGAATTCAATTATAGAACCAGAATTTTGATAATTACATCTATTATTCTTGGAAATAACAGCTGGCATTTATTGAGTATTTACTATGTGCCTGGCATGGTACTAAGCATGTGTGCCTTGATGCGCCTGGTACACATGTACACACACACAAAAAAAACACAAAACACGCACACACACTCTTACATCTATAATCTCATTTTATTCTCTTCTAACATCTATTATGTAGCTACAACTTTATCACTATGTTAAAGATGAGGAAATGCAGGCCAGAGAGATTAAGTCTCTTATCCAACATCTGATAAAAGTAGGATTCAAATCCAGGTAGTCCCAGAGTCCACATATTTAACATGAGTAAAAAAGTGCAGACTGAATGTTAAATAAACACAAATAATTCATTTCAGCGATGAGTCAACAAGAAGTTTACAGCACTGAGAAAGACGAGTCAACAACAGAAGGAAAAAAATCCAGAGAAAATGGCACTTGCTGCATTGGAATGAAAGATAATCTGCAGAAGGTAAATGGACAGGAGAGATTTTCATCATTTTAAATGTATTTGCAATGACCATGATTTATATTAAAGTTTCTCTTCTCTGAGGCTTAGTTTTCTCAGCTGAAAATGAGCTTGTTGGACAATTGAACTCTAAGGTCCCTTCTCTGGTTCTATTCTACATCACTTCATGAGTTCTTATCAGCTACAAAGAACACTTTCCACTTTTCCATGTATGTTTCAGAGAAGATTCCAAATAATGTTTGATAATCTCTAGTCATATCTCAGAGCTGTCAGTTGATAACTGACTCCATTACTTCGGTACCCATTTTCCAAGATGTTAAGAGGAGTTTGGTGGTGCTGGAGAGAGACAGAGACTAAGAAACTTGGAGACCAAGGGGACCCCTCATTAGCAGTGGAAGCGAATATCGACATATGTCAGCAGAATTCTTTCTCACATGGAAACTCTTCTGTGAATATCCAACAAAGAAATCCATGTTAATGGAATCTTGTCATATTTAATATTTTAAGCCAGCAACCTAACATTTCCTACTGAGAATTGATGGATTGGCTAAAACAGAGTATTTTAGCCCCATTTGAATGATTAGCTTAAGTCTCTGCCCAGAAAAAGTGTGGTAATCAAAATCTTATCCATTGAAGCAGCCTGTTTTTTGAGGTTTAACAGCAGCCTCAGAAATTGGACATTTTATTTCATCTGCACAAGCAGTGTCACAAAAGATGGTGACACAGTGACAGGCCTTGTGAACATGGAGCCTGGAGGTTGGAGGAAGGGGCACTCGGTGCGTTTACCACAATCAGGTAAGGGATGTGGTTAAATGGACCTAGAATCACACAACTTGGGCTCAAGGTCTGGGCCCAATCTTCAAGAGTATCTCTAAGCCAAAGTTTCCCAACATGGTGATAACTCGTAGCATGTGCTATGAGGTAACACATGGTATCACATACTGTCCTGAAAAGTGAGATGATGTCATGGAAGTGCCTTGTAAACCGTAAATCACAGATGTTAAGTTGTTCTGTGGCTGGCTTCATTGTGAGAGGGTTTAGGTGAAGGCACTTTTACACAACAATAGCAGCATTGCCAAAATAAAATCTGCATAAAAGCAAAATAAGTATCATAGAGATCTATGGGCATAAATAACAAAATAATATGCATCAGAGTGTAGTGGAATTTAAGTGCTGGAGAGGTTATGTGGGATCAAAGAGGAAAGTTAGCAATAAAGTCAGCCAAGGTACATTTCTGTATCTACTAACTTATCTTAACATTTTAAAGGATTGGAACTGTGAGGAATGAACTAATTGATGGAATTTTGGAAAATAGAAATGTAGGAAACACAATTACACTGGAAAGTGTTGAACATTTTAAATACCTGAAATTCTAAATGCTTAACTACATATTTATAATACAAATTGCCATGAATATTACTTTTGATTATGGTAGAAATTACCTTACAACATTTTAGTGTCTTCCTTGTACCTTGAATAACTATCTTAAGCACTCGAATAGAAGTCAGGTAATATATTAGCTCATCTCATTAGTGGACTTTACTGGTCACGTATCTTAGATAATATTAAGCAAAGAACCAAAGTGACTTATAGCAGAGTTTCTTGGCCATATTGACGTTTCAGACCATGTAACTTTTTGTGGTGGGGGTATCCTGTGCATTGTAGGATGTTTAGCAGCATCCCTGGTCTCTACTCACTAGATACCAATTGTACCTCTCAGTTGTGACAACCAAAAATATTCCTAGATATTGACAAATGTCCTCTGGAGGGAAAAAAAATCATCCTTGTTTGAGAGTTACTCCTCTACAGTGACCACCTTCAGCTTTCATGACTCAGAATTCCAAAATTTCTAGGTTATTAAAATTAGTCAGAGATATATTATAAAGACTAAATGCTTATACATTTAAATGCTTTGTGTTGCTAACATTTTGAATTTAACTCTTACTGTCTTTTTTTTTCTTTGGTTTTGTTATGAAGGTGCACTATTCTCTCTATGGTTAGACAAGGTACTTCTGAGGGACTAGGTTGTACGTCTTTTTGTCTTCTAGCTCTGCAGTCTTTTACATTTTCATTTACCTTCTGTGTTTTATTATATGTTCTCAGGTGACTCCCAAAGTAGATAGAAATTGTGAGTGCTAGTGAGATAGCTGCTCACTAGCACTTTGAAATGATTATGTCCCGCCCAGCTACATCCACATCTGCATCTGCATCTACCTCTGACCTCCTCTGTTTTTTCTCCCTCTATTGATTGATTGTTGTTGCTAGCTCACTGTCTTCTATATACCCAGATACCTCTTAGGGTCAACTTTATTTCCTTATAAGTCTACAGCCTCTCCCCTAGTTATTCATTTCAACCAACACTCTCTCTAAGAAACGCCCCTCCCCACTTCAGATTTTTCTGGGGCAACTATTGTTATCTTCCACCTGCCCTTCCTGCCTCTGGTCTTTCTATATAAGGTACATTTTATTCTGTTATATTAATATCCCTGAAGCATTCCCATCCCAACAAATTCTTTAGCCTTCTAGGGACTAACTCTAACTTATTTCTTCAATCCTATATCTTACCACTGGAACTAAAAATAATTTCTCTGTATCCTGCACTTCTTTAGGACTTCATCTCTTAATTTCTTCAAATACTGTCATTTGATCTAAACCTTTTTTTTGTGTGTTTTTGATCATTTAGACTAACATTTGAAAAAGAAACCCATATCCCCTTTAATGTTCAATGTATATATGGGAACCCGAGAATCTAGAACTTAAGTACTCTAAAGTTACTTTAAAGATTATTTTAGAGAATTACAATATATAGATGGTTATAAAATACTTTACATGGAATTCATGCATCCCTGATGTTGATACTGTTTATTTTGCTTCTTGGAATTTAACATACAGCAGCCTTCTTTACCTCCTCATCTTATGGTGGGACATGAATATGTAAATGTAGTTTCCATATTTAAAAAAATTGTGCATAAGTCTTAATCTGCATTCCACTTCAGTGGGTCTTAAAAATACTTGCTTAAGAAAGGCTGACTCTACAAAGGTCAAATATGGTGGTAACATAGAGAATGAGAGGGAGACATGATTATTTAGTGGCACTTATTGCCACAGGTACTGGTCCACTTATTGGAGTAGAGTGAGCACATATTGAACTTGTTGTTTGCCGTCAAGAATGCTGAGCAGTTCCATGGGAGAAGGTCTTGGCTTGAGCCCAGGTTGATAGTAAATGTAGGCCATTACTAGTTGATGTCTGTTTGATGGTCTGTATGAAATGAGTTGGTGGTCTCAGTCCAGTTATTAGAAGACAGGTGTCTACATCTCAAAACATCATGACAATTGGCACTAATTGGCATCTTTGTTGGGAATCTCAGCAGAGAAGCAGAGGAATAAATGGGGGGAAAGGAGAAGCTGTTGTTACCCTAGATAAAGAAGTCTTTGGGGATATAAGCAGAAAATAATTACCTACTGCTCAAAGAACAGTATTTTCAGAAGATCTAGACATTTCCAACATGGAAAGGACTTTTTTCAGTTATTTGTCCATCATCTCTCTCTTATCTTCCTTTCCATTCCCACATTCCTCTTGCATTTTAGAACTGGACATTTGGTCCCACTTTCTCGTTTCTTATCTCAGGGAACATGTTCTGGGATGAAAAACATCTGCTTGGGTATCTACCATGTTCTTTCATCAATTCAACCTCAGACTTCATGTTCCTGGTTTCTCCCAGGACTTATGATACCTCAGTTTTCGTGCACATACAAGAGCTGAGCATGTTGGTTCAGTTGCGACCTGTTAATGAATTTTTCTTCTGTGCTGTACTTTACTTGGTGATACTGGGATACATGTCTCTTACATTCTGCTGTCTCTCCCACTATTCTGAGCTTTCTGAGATAGGACCCTTGCTTGATTCATTTTAGCATTCCTGCAGTGCACTCATTAGGTACTCAGTTAATGAATGAGAGAAACAATGAATAAATGAATGAATGCATTTTTAGCCTTTGGAGACACATACTCGTATCTAAGAGTGAAATGAAAAGTAAATATGAAAGAGACGGAGTCTAAGAGACAGAGTGGCAGGAATTCATCGTTCTATTCTACTTGGTGCCTTTGACATTCTCCCACTCTCATTTTGAATGGTTGCTTAGTGTTCTAATCTATGCAAGCCATCTTATACAATTGCTTTGTAATCGGCATAATTCAGCTTTCTAGCTGAGGAGCCTGCTCCGATGTATGTCTATAAGGAGCATTCTGTATTCTCTGTTAGAGTTTATAATTTCACCACTGCTATATCCAGTGTTTTTCATTGCATGTGAAATAATAATTTAATGAATGTGATTTTGATTATTTTAACCAATAAAATTATTTAACACAAAGGGAAAAATTTCTTAAACACGAGAAACCATGACTACATTTTGGCACTGCAAATAAATATATTAGAACTGTTTTGCTCATGTCTATTAGAACTGGGTAAATGTTTCTGAGTATTTTGTTATTCTTAAAATATGATTTATTATTAAAATGTGAAACAGTACTATTTTTAAAACCATAAACCCAAAATAGCTGTCAAAATGTGTCAAAAAGAGAGCTTTGATTCTCTTTTTGATTATTTAATTGAATAGATCTACCAACATTTAATATAGGACTATTAAATATAGCAAATGGTAAATATAAATTAGTATATATTGATAAAATATGTGATAAAACACATAGATAATAAAATTTTTTAATTATAAAATTATTTGTTATGATTTTTGACTAGGAAAATGGTTTCCCTTTTTCTATATCTATATGTGAACTTTAACTAGAATATTTCCCTATTTTTTTGAGAAAAAATGTGTCACATGAACATTGATTAGAAACAACTTTACAAATGTGACAATTTTAATGTCAAGATATGTTTCCTAAGTTCAACATTACTTGTTTTGAACATTAGACTGCCAAATAAGCAGCAAATTTTTACAAATCCTTTAAGTATTAGAACCAAATAACCCTCGTATTAGTTGTCAAGAGTGTGCCGTGTATTACTGGGAATCAGCATTGCAGAGTATTTATAAAAGGAAGGGCAAAACCAGATAGTCAGGTTTGTGACATAGGATCATGCACGTTGGAAATCAAGAGAAATCAATTCAGATTTCTGCAATCTTTAATAGCAGAACAAGAAACACAGAGCTACCATTGCACTTATTCATTCTTTAATTTCTTAGGTAATTTAGAATATCTTGAATTTTTCAAGTATGAACTAAATGATACATGTTAGGTAGGATTATTACCAAGATTACAGCTTAGGGCAGCGTTCACGTGCAGATCAGTGCTCTTAGGTAATTCAGACCAGTTTCAAGCAGTCAGTTTCTGCTAAGCACTTACCAAAAATTATTTTCAGTAAAGCAAATGACATTTCAAACCCAACATAGAATTTCTATTAACAGTAAGCAATTTGTGAGCTGATCAATGTGGATTCACTATCTAAGGCATGTCAGTATGTTATGCTTTCATGCCTCTTGATATCATCACTGGAAAACTCTTTGGATTTATTTCCTTGATGCTCATTGCAAGAGTCTCTAGAAAGCATAGCTTATAGAATGGTTTTAAATTTCATCCTTTAATTCAGTTTATGGGCCCTCACCTTCAAAGTTTTTACATTCCCTTAAGACATATTTGGGCTCGCCTTTCTTTTTGATAGAGTTGCAATTAGTCCTGGGAAGCAGTTGTTTCCAATTAACAAGGAGGAGAAAATCACAACTGAAGTTTTATAACAAATCATTAGGCATTCTGATATCAGACCAGTGTATTGTGAATTTTTGTAATAAAAATCTGTTACATATTGTTAAAAACAATCCTGCCCATTCTTATTTATTTAGGATCATTACATTTTAGTACTTACTGGCATTTCCTGAGAAGATAAATATTTTGGTGTTTTTGAGCTTCCCAGAGGGATAGAATTTCTACCATGCACATACACACCATTTTGCTGTAGCTCATTTTATGTCACACAAACAATAAAATGCAAAATACTCATTCTAACACTGTGGCTTGCACTGAATGGTCACAGCATTAAGTTAAAGTTAACGCATTTTTAATAAAGGAAATCAAAGTCTTTTTTTTTTTTTTTACAAAAGACAAGATAACTATTTTAATGAAACAATGATCTTATTCATCTCACAATCATGTTATAGTTTTGAATAGTGGTGGTCTCTGCCTCTGTAACTTTTTTAAAAATAGATGTATTATGATTACAAAAGTTTTGATTCCTAACATCTAAAACTGAAATATTTAATTTTTTTGTGTGATTCCCTGTCTATATGACAAATTGTTCATTGTAGATACCGGTAAATATATCTGAGGAATAAGAATATGCTAAAACTTACCTTTGGTAATCATAGACTCTTTAAAAAGGAGAAAAATGAAAACTGCTATTTAGTAGCTTTTGATAAGATGCTGCAGTATATAGGGAGATAGCCTGTAGGTTCTTTTTATATAGTTTAAAACATAACCTCCACCCCCCACACACACAGATGTAGACAATATACATTTGTTGTGTAGCTTGTATTGATATTAATGGAACTTACGTGAGCATATCCAGGTCTAAAAGGTGGGCCCTAAGGGCTTTAAAAGATTCTGCTATAGCTGAGAAGGGAAGCTAATTGTTTCCTTGATTTTAGAAGTCAGGTCGACTTTCACAGTGCAAAAAGCCAGCATTATGTAATGAAAATATCTCAGTAAATTTCATCAATAGGTATGTATTTTTCATGTTCAGACTTCAGGTAAAAACTGAACAAACTTTAGTTGAAGAAGATGGGTGAATACTGTAATTTTTGTAGAACATCATTAACTAGGTTAAATAATTCCTTTGCTATTTGGGAACCAGATAAACAAGTTTCTGTAGAGCCCTTTATTAAGTGTGTGTGTATCTCCCTTCGTCTGTGTGTTTGTGTGTTCTGGGGAAGGGGATGAAAGAGTAGCAGGAGTTGTAAATTAGCAGTTTGTGCAATATGCCTATATGATCAAAAAATTTATGTAGAATATTACACTGTTGTTTTTCAGATATATTTTCCCTCCAGATGCAGCAAAAAAGTTTTCTTGATGTCTAATCAAGCAATGCAGTTTTTTCAGATTTGAAGAACTCAGAAAGTTAGTTTTTTTATTCTTCTTCATTTAAGTATTATTTTTTAATTGCAGTGTATTAAACATAAAATCTGGTACAATCTTTAAAAATAAATAGGACCTAACTATAAATGGGCCCTGTTGTGTTTTTATCTTTGACAAGCAAGTAATTGCTTCTCAAATTTATCAGTTTGTTTATGCAAAAACCATTTACCAAGCCTAGCTCAAAAGCATCAATTTCATCATTATCATCTTATTAATTTAGCCAAGCTATAACACAGCTGATTATTCCTGAGTAATATCCTCTGCAGCACATCATGTGTGGCAAAACCATCTGTACAGTACCTATTTAATAAATAAACCCTCGGCTAAATGTCTCTGTTTATTGAGAACTAATGTTTATAGAAAATATAATGGAACTCAATAAATAACTCAGCTTCATCAACCTGCATATGAATCAGTGAGAAGAATGCTGACATCATCACCTTTCAAGTACCAGAGAAAGCAAAATTACCCAAAAGAGATATAGAGTCAGTATTAAGGCATTAAAACTGCAATGAAGGCATATTAATGCTTAAAACTTCATTGTTGGCAGTGGAATTGGCACAATGGACATATTTTATAACTCTAGGAATACTTAGGCTTTATGGCTGCTTCTTTGTTGACTGCCTTGCACTTAATGTAGTTTTCCACTTTAAATAAAAAAAACCCTCAAGATCTTAAAAAAAAAAAACAAGAAAATTGCTGATTCTAAGCATTCATTTTTAAAATAATGCAAACTGCTGATTCCAATTGTTCAGATTTAAGAAAAAAAAAAGCCAACTTCTTTAACTCCATGCTTCCTGAATTCATATTAGTAGTAACTAGATATTTTGTGGCAAAGGCTTTTTAAAAAGTCACAAGTATTTTTTTAAAGAGATTATTCTGAGTGACATCATTAGTACTGAGAATGTGAGAAGGATTTAGTCATTTTGCAAAGAAAGGCCAACTTAGGTTTTGAAACATTAGTAATATTCATGCCCAGTATATAAAAGTGCACAATTATTTAACATACTCACATTGATTCTCGTCACCACACTATTTTAAAAATTTGCATTAATAACTTAAATTTTTAAGCTAGTATGAATCCAATGAAGCAAAGTGGATTATTTTGAAATAGATAATGAAAATGGAGCCATTGGTTACAACCTGTTTCAAAAGTCTATCTGTCCTCATTTTACTTTCCAGAAATAAAAGTTCATTGACAGAGAATAAACATTGTCCTTATTCAAATCCAAGGAATGGACCTTATTGATTTTTGAAAGCAACTCTATTTTTGTGCATCAGTATGGCCCACTTCACCTGGAAGCTTACTTGGCATGTAGCTTAAACTCTTCCCTTCTTCCAGTGCCCACAGGACTTCAGATTTTTACTGAGGCCCTACCCTGTTATAATTTAAAACCTAGGGAATTAGCAGACGCTGACCTGTTGCTAGGGACATGCGGGCTCATTTTCCAGGCCTGGTTGCTACTTCCACTCATGCAGCTCTGAAACCCACCTGGCTCACTCTTCTAGGTGAAGATGGATATGTTCACACTTTGAAGACATTTTTCTAAGGCTACAAGATCTTTGTAAAGTTACAATTAGGGAAAAGAGTTGTGTATATACCTTTCAAATGTCAATCTAAAGGCAGGATGTTGTTTTTGTTTTTGCTGCTTTTCAAAACATTTATTACAATGTCTCATGAGAGAAGGGGGCAAAGTGTGATAACCCAAGAGGGGTTACGTCCTGTAATCTGTAGATATCAGCTTTTTTTTGCCTAGACGCTGGATTCATTATGCTAGATGTACAGTTGTGTGTGTGTGTTTTTTTTTTAAGTGTTTCAATTTATGCAGTGGGCTCTGTGGTTTGTACAGAGACTACCCATTCTCCAATCCTAGGAAGGGTTGAGGGAAGATTCCTAACAGAATCTTCATACCTCCTAAATGAGGCAAATGCCTCAAACAAAATGAATACCACATCAAAGGAGCAAGAAAGATAGTGAAATGCTGCCAGTAATTGCCTTTTGGGGTAACTCAGCTTAAACAACTTAAAGCTTGCAAACGCTGCACCCACACTACCCAGAAGAATACTTTTGTCCGAGGGTTTAAATTGCAAGCTAGGAAGCCAACAACTCTAAAACCCCTGCTTGGGAGCCAGAGCACGCAGTGTGCCTTTGACATATGTCTATAAGGAAACCTGTGTCTGGCACATCAGCAGTTTTGAATAGCTCGGGTTTGGTGACCAAAGTCAACACCCCACATATTTTGTCACAATTAGACTCAGATCAGCAAAAAGGCTGTTGGATTGACTAACTGGGTACATCTACTTAAGATGACCCGTGGTTTAAAAGAGCAGAAAGAAAAGAATGCTAGCCAACGCTCTGCCTGCAAGTGGCCTATGCCCAGAGGACTCCTGAGATTAAGCAAAGTAAAATTTTATCTGTTTGTTCTGAGTCTAATTCAGTGTCTAGCCTCTCATTGTGTAATCCATAAAGTCATTTTCATCCCATTTTAAGAAATCAATTATAGATTTCTGATGAGAGGTGATGTCAGACCTTACCATTTTGAAGCAAGAAATCAAAATACCAATTCTAGTCATCCACCCTGAGATGGGTAACAGGGGGCAGGTGCATCTCTGCTGTATGTGGAAGATAGAGAGTATGTCTCCCATAAAATGTGAGTGATTTGGACATATTTGAATGCATTGGCCTAACATAGCTCTTAAATCCACCTTGGTCTAGTCCTTAGGACTCGTTAAGGGAGTAGTAATTTAGCTTATATCTGTTAAGAATCAATGCTAGGGGCCACTGAATGTGACAGACCACAATTCAAAGTTATAATGCCAAAGCTGAAGATGCAAAGACAGGCCTTTCCTATAGGCTGGCCATAGTCTCGGAGAAATCTAGGAATTGGTAAATCTGATGTATATCTGTGGAAAATTCCTGGCTTGAGAAAGGAGAAAAATTATGAAGTAGGTGGCACATTTTTGACTTTCTTGCATTCTATGGTGGTAGCAACTCTATAAAGAATAGAAAAACGTATAGTTTCAAAGGCAACATTGCAATAAATACCAAAAAGAAGATGGTAATATAATTGGATGATTTAAGGCACAGTAAAATATATTCATCTGTCATGCAACAATATTTATCTAATCATGCAACAATATTTATCAGGTGCCTACATTGTGCTAGGCATTGGGATACTATAGTGAATATAAAGAGATACTGTCCTAGTTTCACAGATGGCATGATCTGGTGAGGAATTGAAAGGTTATAGAAATAAATGCAAAATTCAACTGTGAGAAAGAATATGAGGAACAGATGCAAGATGGAGGTGTTGAGAATATTTCCAGCAAAGAAAATAGCCCCTTAAAACAACCATGGTGGTATAGCAGTCCTGTGGTGCACTCAGAGAACTGAAAGAATAGTGTGAATGAACAGTAAGAGAAATCTGGTGCAAGGTGAACCTGGAAAAGGTGGCAGGGTTTGATGTTAGGAATTTTGGTCTTTACAGCAATGTTAAAGTTAATCCATATTATCCACGGCCTTACTGTTCACTGGAGAACTTATTACTGAGTCCCATGGCAGAAAATATTTGCCATCAGCTGATACTAAAATATTATTCACTTCTTCAACTGATATTTTATTGAGCACCTACACTATGCAAGGAACGAGCATTGTTAATATAGTGGTGATGCACATATGCATGGTCCATGCTGTCATGAAATTTTTATTCTAAGATAATTTTTTATTTTTAAGCCACAGGGTCTCACTCTGTTGCCCAAGCTGGAGTGCAGTGATGGGATCATAGCTCACTGCACCCTCAAACCCCTGTGTTCAAGTGACCCTCCTGCTGGAGCCTCCCAAGTAGCTAGGACTATAGGCATGTGCCACCACACCCCACCAATTTTTTAAATTTTTTTGGTAGAGATGGGGTCTCACTACGTTGCCCGGGCTGGGTTCGAACTCCTGGCCTTAAGTGATCCTCCCACCTCGGCTTCCCAAAGTGCTGGGATTACAGGCATGTGCTACTGTGCCCTGCCAGAAAAGATAAACTTTGAATACAGGTGTAACAAGTGTCATAAAGAGAGAGTGCAGGGTTTATGACAGGGGAGTCATTTTGATGGTGTGAGTTGGGGATGTCACGCTACAGGAGTGATTTAAGCTGACGTGTGAAATATGTATTCTGGCTAGACTGTCCACTATCAACAGTGAGAAAGTGGTAGGAGGTAAAGAGAAAGAATGAAGGGCTTAAAGCCTTAGTGACTGTTTATAGCTAAATAGTGGAAACCAATATGATTTTGTTAAATGCTGGATATGGCAGTTGCCTTTTTGACATTTTTCCCATGAACCTGCAGGAATACATGAGTTTTGAGGAGTGAGGATGTCTTTGTGAAATTGCTCATCACAACACACACAGTTTAACCTGGATTAGATCCCTCAAACACACTGCCAGCCAACGGCCACTCCTGCCCTTCAGCAGGGCTCTGTGGTAGGTATGAATGCTAAGACCTGAGACCATGATCTTTTTTGACAAGCCATTTTTTGTCCTGGGATCCCAATTAAATCCATGTGCATTCTGTCTTTGGGGTCAGGAGGATTAAAGTTGGGGATGGAATGAGGCAGATAATTATGACTACCTCTTATTTACTCCTTGTTTCTCTTTTGGGGATACTCATATGGAAATACATAAGCTATTTTTCTTCCGTTATCCTCCCGAGGAAAGAAGGAAAAGGAATGGGTTGGAAATCTTGGGCTGAAGCAGAGAGAATTGTGGGCTGTGCTGAGATGGTGCTTTCTGGTTTATAGACTTCCAAAGTTTTCTAGTTCTCATCACTGTTCTGTCAAGGAGTAAGTAGCTCTGAAGCTCTCCATAATATCTGTTCCTCCTGGGTTGCAGCTCTTTTGTATCAGAGCTCAGACTAAAAACAATAGCTGTAGGAGGAGGTATTGGAATAAATGAAAATCAATCAAATACTGCAGAATCCTGAGCACTCTGCATCTGCATGGCTCAGACACTACTGCACACAGCGTAGGAGTTTGTCTTGTGTTCCACATCATCCTTTGAAAGGGAATAACTCTGCACTTCACATATATACATGTTTATGGCCTAACATGTCCCACTGTCCTAGGCCTTTGTCTTAACACATTACATCCATTGTTTCTACTTTCTACTGGTTGAGTGAAAATAGATGGTTACATCAATGCATATAGTAAATTGATGGTGGCCCAGGTAATCAAAAGTCTTGAAAAAATAATTTTAAGAAAAAGATGCACTTCATACAACCTTTTTTTTTGACTTTCAAGAACTCTTAGTTTAGTAAAAGCTACTCACTACTTTTAAGAGTTTTCCATTTCATTCAACTGTTCACACTGCTGAACTGAGTGACATGGGTGCCACTTTTCTTGTAGAAAGGAAAATATAAGATTTACAAATATTTTCTGACATTTTTGATAAAATGTACAACATAGTTTAGTTGAAGAAGGCATTTCCTACTTAATGCATTTTAAATTATTTGTGTTTACTTTTACCTCTTTCCTATAAATCTGTAGTCATTCTGGCAAGCTAAGTAATAGGCATCCTGGTGGTTACTGCTCATTAAAAGGGAAACACAAGTTTGACTCGAGGGAGAGGGCTTAGGTGGGAAAAGCCATTCCTTATACAGTGATGGTCTTCACACAGTATGGTGATAAAAGCTCAATGGAACTACTCTGGGTCATTCCTTTATCATCATTTGGTGTCGTTTTTCCTTCTTCATTTGCTGATAAAGCATATTTTCTAATGCCAAAGATGGATTACTCCTGCTATACCTGAATTACAAATACAAGGGCTGTATCAGATGCTGTTGTTTTAGCATCAGTGTAAGCCAGAATAAGTATTTAAAGATATTGCAGTAATGATCATTCATAGAAAGAAAGTAGAACTTTGTTAGTGTCTCTGTGATTTAGAATTCAATGAAGGAAAGAGCTCCCAAGGTATAGAATTATTATTGCTTTTTAATAGCATCTGAGTAATTTTCATTTCTTTTCTTTGTCCTTCAAGTGTAAGAAAATATCAAGAATATTCCTTCCTTGTGGGATAAATCTCACCTACTTTTTTTGTAATTTTTGCTTGCTTCTTTGGAATGGAACTGAGTCTAGGTAGTATAGTTACATTAATGTGGGCAGTTTGATTTTTAAAAAAGTCATTTAGTCAATGGTCACCACCTAGTTGGTCAGAATGTTCTCAGGGTGATATAGTAAGTGCTGGCCATAGTTAACTTAATTAGCTGACAAACCATGAAACCTCTTGGTCACCTAGTCATGTAGACATGGTATTAAACTACAGACCACTGATGCATATATCTGAGAACTATGTGAAAGCTTTTATTGACTAAAGGAAAGTTTACAGCACAGTGAAATTATATTACTTAATCTGTTAAGTTATGTGTTTTTATAAATACTTTGGAAATATCTCTCTGGTTAGTGCTAAGGAAATCTTCAAGTTAATATTAAAAAATTCACCAAGTTAATGGTTTTCAACCATATTATACCCAATTATCCATCACAAAAATATATTTTATGATGCCCAATATAGTAATCTTAAATGAAATTAACAGATAATACTTACCTACTTGTGCACATCATTGAAAGAGGATCTATGATGTTGTAACTGTAATATGTAGGAAATATAAAAGGGAAGTATATAAGGAGATACTATGTATGTAAGCTGTAAATGCTCTGACACCACTATTCTAGTAGATGGAAATACACACTATAAGTCTAAATTGCCACTTAGGTACAGGATTATCCCTCCTGAGAACCATTCCAGGAGTCAAGGGGTTTCCAGTGGTCTAAAAATATGTCTATTTTGTTCTTGCTCCATACCAGTTCTAAACATGGCATTTGGCATGGAGTAAGTGCTCAATAAACATGTATACCATGAATGTTGAATGAACAAAAGAAACAAAACAAATCTTTCTCCTGCAAGAATTTATTTTCTGGTTAGAATGTCAGGTCAGTTCAGTAACACACAAAGCGAGGGTTCCTTGGTGCCCATGCATCCCAAACGGGCTGCGTGGTGCATGCTGTGGGGAACTTGAGGATGAAGGCACCTACCCTGACCAGCTGTGAGCTGAGAAGGACTGCTGTGGTCTCAGGTCATCCAAGCAGCAGGCCAGTTATGCGTCTCAACTACACTCTGCTCAGCGCACTTCTGTGCCAGGTACAGGCCCAGGTGCAGGGGACAGATAGGTTAATAAGGCCCTGTGCTCCTGCAACTGCCATTTGAAGGTGTTTCCAACATCAGAACGTGTCAGAAGCCCTTCAGGGATGGTTAAATGAATATTCCCAGGCCCCACCTCAGAGATTCCGATCTGCATTTTAACAAGTTTCAGAAATAAATTGTGATGTAAGTGGTTCATGGACCTCACTTTAAGAAACATCAAATGAGGTTGACAATAAACCTAAAATGTGTTCTTTATGAGAATTTTCAATATTTGGGAAATGAATGGCAACCATGGGTGAATGTTGAGAATTCTTTTGACAGGAAATTTCTTACATTCATTTTATAAATCAAGTGAATGCAAAAGATGAGAGTGTATGTTTTTAAAACTTCATTTATAAGACTGATGCTGTTTGTAAGACATTATTGTTTTAATATTCATGTGATAGTAAAAATGGTCTTGATTATATGTGATGCACTTATATTTGTTTTCTTTTGTTAGTATTGCAGATGGAAAGGTAAATGGAAATATATTGAGAAGTATAAGATGGTGTTATAAGGCAGCTTTTAAGGTTTCTAATATCTTATAACACCATCTTACACTAAGATTATTTCTAGAATTTTAAAAAATCACCTTAAAATTCCTTTTTAAGAAACACCTTAGGATTAGCCAAAAGTGTTTATGGTTTATCTCCTTAGTTTAAGATTTTATTTTTATGTACCTTGTACCTTTTATGTACCTTGTCTGAAGTTTTTAACTGTAATCAAACTGTATGTATTAAAAACATACACTCTTATCTTTTGCATTCACCTGATTTATAAAATGAATGTAAGAAATTTCCTTTCAAAAGAATTCTCAACATTCACCCATGGTGGCCATTCATTCCCCAAATATTGAAAATTCTCACAAAGAACATATTTTAGGTTTTTAAGTGTAATCAAGTTTTAAACTGTAATCAAAATAAGAGTATATCTGATGATACATGCCCTTTTAGTAGTATATATCTGACAATATTTTAAATATAGGTAGCTATCTTAGTTACAGAGAAGCCTACATACCAAAGACTAATACACGTTTTTTGACTGTATATATTTGAATGCATTTTTAAAAATGTAATTGGGTGAAAGCAGAATAAAAGACTTTCCAAGTTTTATTATGTATATTTAATAGCTCAACATAAGGGGGTAAATGGACAGTTACTCTGGTAGAAAAAGACCTATAGCTGCGGATAATTCCATTATATCTCCCTCTAGGCAAGGGGACCCACCCCCACTGATGCCTCCACACACTCCCAGGCCTCATCCTCATGAAAACAAATCAACCAACCAACCAAAATAACCCTAATTTTGAATCACAGATCATTAGCATTACTTACAACCATATTCAAATTAATCACAAATTCACATAAAAGCAATAAATTCATAGGTCAATTAATAGCTTTGTCTACATGATGTCAAACAAGGGTTTTATTACTATTTCTGAACTGAATGTTTTCTTTTTTAAAAATCTAGTTTCAATGCTATGAATACTTAGCTTTTTAAAAATCAAATAATTTACAGGGCCACGAAGATTATAGTTTTCTTCTTTTAAAATTAGTAATCATCTTAGCACATATAAAGTAAACAAAATGAGAAAACAAATGTTCAGTTTATTGTCTTAAGCTTGCAAATGATAAGAAGGCTGCCTTTTTATTCTTTGGAATAGTTCTATAGGTTATTAAGATAACAGAGGACTAGATGAATCTTTAGTGGGGTACGTATTTACAGAAAGTTTTCTAAAAAATGCTTTCTATGGAGAAAATCTTTTTGCTTAGATGTGCTATTTTGTGGGTATAAATTCAACTGGGTAGAGAGTATTCTGAACAAATCCTGAGTTGTTCATTTGTTAAATTTGATTTCCTCATTTTTTTATTTTATATATGACCACTGAAAAACTACAAAACAAAAATTTGGTTTAATTTCCATTTAGATCTTTTCCAAGGAGACTCAGTAATAGAAGTGAGCAAAGGTCACATTTTTGAAAGAAACTTTCTCTTTCTTATGTATTCTCAGAGTGTTGCCATCATTTATAAAGATGACCCAGCACATGTTATATTCAAATAGAAAAATGATTATAAACATCAACATGTGTAGATTTCCATAGACTTCCTGATATTCACAGGATGTGTAATACTCAAGCATCAACGTGTAGATTTCCATAGACTCCCTGATATTCACAGGATGTGTAATACTGAAGAAATGAGGTACGGTTACACACACACAGGCACACACAAAAGACTCAAGCAGAGCAGAGTCACGAGCAGTGGACAGTTGAGTATGGGACTGACTCAAACGAAACTGATAAAGTGAAAGTGTGTGAAGGCTATGCCTGGTGAGATCGGCCCATGGTTACACCAGATACAATAATAGGACACAGGCGAAGCTCCCTTCTGCCTCATGTTGCACTGAGAGTCCAAGAAAGTTTGGCAAGTAGACCCTGAAGTCCTGTCCAGATAATCCAAAATCATCACCCATGGAGCTTAATTCTGAATTTCCGCCCCAGACGAAACTCCGATTAAATTCAATGAGTGTTTCTCATTTTAGAAAGTTGTGCATGTGCATGCCATATTCTTTTCTTAGATAAAAACATACCCACAGCTCCTTCCATACAAAACGAAACCAAACACATTTAGAACACATGTAAGCCATTTCTCTATGGGAAAGGCCATTTGTGGTTAACACAGAAAGTATTTATGGTTTCACTGTTAATTGTGGTTTCTTTGTATTAGCCAAAAAAGGTAGCGTTTTTCATGTTAGAAACAGTATGAAAGCAATAGCCTTTCTAAAAAATATCCGCATTTTCTGGGGCATAAGGAAGTAACTGAATTTATGATATCTTCTAAACACCAAAGGAGTATATGCAACATAAAATTGTGTTTTCAATTTGAATAAAAGTTTATTCAAAATTATCTTAATTGTACTTTTGTACATTTCCACAAGATAAGACCATATAATCAACATTGTATATTTAAGGCATTTGATTTTTTATTTGTATTTGTTATCTAGGAATAATAACATTTATTTCTGAATCAATGCTATTCTTGTAAATTATTTCCTTTCTTCTGAAAATTGTTAATTTTACAACGTGCATGTTTATAAACGTGGATTCATTTACCTAAATCAGTTGGCTGACCTGCCTAATCCCTTCCCTCTGTCTTCCTCTTTCTCTCTTCCTTCTTTCTTCTCCCCTACTCTCCTCTCCCCTCCCCTCTCCTCCCCTTCCCCTTCATTCCTTCCAAAATGCAATACTGCATTTTGGCAAGGATTCTATAATGAGAGTGAGTGCATTCAAGAGGTTAATTACATGTAAAAACAGTCAGTTTCATTAATTCGAATGTACTATACATTTTTGGGGCCTATATGTTAATATTTTTTAACAGACATTTCCACAAGTGCTGCATTTTAACATCTGAATGCATCATGTATATATTATTAGAAGAGGGAAAGAAGAGACAATTGTGATTATTAGGTCAATAACCAGAACACTTAGGAAGATTAATATAGCAAGCAGTTTTTTGTAAGTACATTGGCTTTTATTACCTACAGGAAAGAATATATTTTCTAATTTCATTATTATGCAATTTAAAAAATTTTAGAAGAAGCAATATATAAATATTTGATTATATCTTATTAAATTCCATAAGAAAAAGAAGCCATCAAAACATGACCCTAATTGTCTCTTTCTGAGTGTGAAAAACATTCTTTATGAAAATGCTTGGAAGTGTAATTTATCAATTTAATCACATACATTTATGTATATCTCCTGAGTGTATGTGAAATTGAGTCTAAATGAACATTTTATGATGTTAAACGCATTTTTCCAAAGATCTACATTTATTCAAAGATCATGTAAAAGGCTGTTAATTTGGATAAATACTATTCTGTCCATTGCTAAGTATTTATAAAATTCTGAGTTTAACTTAAAGACATCAAACATATTGGTACATTTAAATTGCACCAGTATTCGTTTCTAAAAATCTTTAATAAAAAATGTAAAGGTTTTGAATTATATTTTGTCTCCTTTCTCTTACAAATGGAAAATTAAACTGGAATATATTGTTATGTATGAAATTTATTAACTATGATGAGGTTATATACTATATAACTTTCTGCCTCTCAAATATTATTGTAATATATTTTATATAGTGTGTAATATTGAATCTTAGTGTAGTAATATATTTTGACATTTATAGATTTATATATTTTTAAATCTATTCATAAACATAGGATATGTTTTTCATGTCTTTTTGTGATTTTTAGTTTGAAAAACATAAACATTTTAAGCGATAACATTCATAGAAGGCAAATACTTCTCTGTGGAGTCTTTACAAAAAGGAATAAAACCTCAAACTAGAATTCATTTAACTTCATTTTAATAGATATGTTACGTTTTATTTTTGTTGCCGACATCTGAAGTAAATAATTTCTGAATCCAGGTAGTTGTTTTTGCACAGCAGAATAAAATATCTTTTTTACTATTTTACTATTTTCATTTGTATTCAAATATTGATATGAAGTAACCAAAGAACAAAACAGACTTTACTAATACATTCTTCAGTTGCGGGCAATCGGTGGTGAGAGTCAAAAAGAAGAAAAGTCCAAACAAAGGTTTTTCATTTCTTGCTGTTTACAAATATGTAAAAACAAGAATTCATAGTGTCCATATATTTCCTAGCCTTTAGTGTCACATTTTGTTCAGCAAAGGTTTCTTACCTTTTTTCATTGATGCCTTATTGAGAATCCTGAAATACTGCTGCTCAGTTCTTTCCTCTTCATCTGCTTGCATTGTGCATATCAGTCTGTAGGGGGCACTCCTCAGCTACCACAAAGACTTGTGATAAGTCCTTTCTGTGGTCTGAAATGTATTTAATACTCATTATTTTATCAAGGCACTTAGTTTAAAGAGAATTCATAGTTTATCTTTAAAGCATATATAGCCATAATTGAGGAAAAAAACCCTCAGTTTCAAGATGGGCATTTGGATTTCCGAGGATGTTAATAAAAATTTACAAAACTGCATTGAACTTTGGTAAATTAGTACTTTTCAGAGCTTCCTTCTTTCTATTCTTTTCTTGGAGCTCAGGGTGGATTTTATAATACCCAGACTTTTATTACTATACCTCGAGTCTTGTTGTCTCTTTGCCTTGAGGGCTCCCAGAGAGCAGAATGTAGAGTGATCATGATTTACATGTGGGAAGAGGAACCACAGAGTTTTTACATAGAATTACATGCCCTACACTGGAGCTTATAAACAGCTTATCTTTAACGGGAGTGAAATATTGAATTTAAGATTGTGTGTGGCCTTCTCTACTCCCTTTCCTCCCTTTCTCCTCCCATCTCCAACAGAATCTACTTGGGTGGCAATTCTAAGAACCCCTTCCATAATAATGACGTGGTCCTCTCACATGGCTGTATCTTCCAGGTTCACATCAGCTGTGGGTGCAGCTGCTTTGGCTTATTATAGATTTCCATAGTTACCTCTCAGAGAGACCAGCAGCATTAACTGGTCCAACACGTTGGGGGTTGACTTTCCACATTCAGCCTCTTACTTGCCTCCGTGCCAGTGCTTCTGCGTCCTGCTGTTACCATGGTTGTACTCTACTCACCCTCTTTGAGACCAGCCCCTCCTCTTGATCAGAGAGCCCCTCACTCCTCTGGAGCCTGACACTGGATGCCACTTCAGCAGTTGCTTCGTCCTTTTCCTTATCATCAAACGTTCCCTTTCTCTGCTGTAATTTCTCCTATCTCTCTTCACCCCACTTCTCCTGCAGCCTCTCCATTTCTCAATTCATTTTATTTTTTATTTAATTTTATTTTTTTTGAGACTGGCTCTCACTATGTTGTCTGGGTTGGTCTTGAACTCCTGGGCTCAAGGGATCCTCCCACCTCAGTCTCCCGAGTAGCTGGGACTACAGGCATGCCCCACCGCACCTGGCCATTTTTCAGTCCATTTTAGAGCAGAACCTCTCAAAGGGCTGTCTGTATCTGATGTCCTAGGCTTTCCACCCCTCCTTCTTTCCTTTCCTGCTCCACTGATGCTCTGTTCCTAAAATCAAGGACCTCCATGATGCTAAACCTAATGGTCAGTCCTCAGCCCTCATCTTTTACTTTATTTTTTTTATTGCTGCCTCCTATACAGTGACTCAGCCCTCATCTTGATTGACATAGAAGCAGCATTTTATTTTTCCCCATAGGGGATCACTCACTCCTCTTTAAATGATTTCTTTCACATGGCTCTGGTTGTCTTCCTCCCTCACCAGCAGCTCTTATTCCACTCCTTTGCTAGCTGTGTCTCATCTTCTTTTAAAAAGCTTAAAAAATATATATTTTTTTAAATGAAGATGGGATCTTGCTGTGTTGCCTAGGCTGGTCTGGAACTCCTGGACTCAAGCAATCCTCCCAGCTTGGCCTCCCAAGGTATTGGGATTACAGGTGTGAGCCACCACACCCAGCCTGTATCTCATCTTCTTGAACCCAGGGAAGCTCAGGTGTCTCTCTCTACACTCGCTTTCTAGGTTAATCTCATCTCTCAGGCTTTACATACTGTCTATATTCTGAAAAATCCCAATTTTTTCTTTCCAGCCAGGACTACTTCCCTCAACTCCTGGCATGTGTATTTAACTTCTTTTTCACTGGACATTGCTGTTTGGATGTCCAACGGGCTTCTCAAACTGATCTCCATCCTAATCTCACAAAACAGGCCACTTCTTAACAGTCCTTCCTGTCTTAGAAAAGGGAATTTTCTCAGGATAAAACCTCAGTTTTAAGACAGTAATCCAAGCCGCTGTCATCATTTCCTGTGTCCATTTCTCCTCACTCCAATACACCGACATCAAATCCATAGAGGTTAAATATCAGTTCATTTCAGTCCCTTTCTCAAAACCCACCAGTGGCTCTCTACGGAACAGAGTGACGGCCACAGTGCTGTTAATGACACCAGGGCTCTACTGGATCTGACCTCTGAGATGCCTCTTGGCTTCTTCCCTTACTCTGCTCCCTGGCTCACTTCACGCCAGCCACATGTCCCACTTTGCACTTGCTTGATAATCCAGGAAAATCCCTGCCTCCAAGGGATTTGTTATTTTCTCTTCCTAGAGTGCTCCTTTCCCTGATACCTTCATGACTCACTTCCTCACTTGCATAATATCTTTCCCCAAAGTCATCTATGTACTGCGTAGGTGTCTCTGACCACTCTTAAAAATAGCAGCCCTCAGCTGGGCGCGGTGGCTCACACCTGTAATCCCAGTACTTTGGGAGGCCGAGGCAGGTGGATTGCCTGAGGTCAGGAGTTCAAGACCAGCCTGGCTAACATGGTGAAACCCCGTCTCTACTAAAAATACAAAAAATAGCTGGGTATGGTGGTGCACGCCTGTAGTCCCAGCTACTCGGGAGGCTAAGGCAGGAGAATTGCTTGAACCCAGGAGGCAGAGGTTGCAGTGAGCCAAGATTGTGCCACTGCATTCCAGCCTGGGTGACAGAGCAAGACTCTGTATTAAAAAAAAAAAAAACAAAAAAAGCAACCCTCCCTAGTGGACTCGGCATTTCACACAACTTTCTGGCTTTATTTTTTTCCATGGCACTTATCACCATCTGACTTGCCATATCTCTCACCTGTGTATCATCTCTTGTCGCCATCCATGTGTACGCCCCAAAGGGCAGGGGTTTTGTCTGTTGTGTCTGCTTTTGCTTCCCCAGTGCCCAGAGAGATAACTGACATGCAGTAGGCTCTTCGTAATAGTTGCTGAATGAACAAACCCATTTTAGCATATCATCTGTGAAAGGATTTATGTCCAAATTTGGAACTCAGCCAGGATTTGAATTGTATTTTGTCTTTTCTGTTTCAAAGCTTGCTTTCTGGTTTAAATTAGTTCCTCAAAGTGATGCTACTTTATCTTGTGTTTGCACCCTTTGTTTTCTTCAGTTGACTTTGAATACATTGGTCTTTTTGCCTTTAATCAATATTGGATGCAATAATTTTTATTTTTTATTTTAAAAATCTTTTATTTCAACATTCAGCCAGATAGTTGAAGATGTAGTAATTTTTGGAGGCCTCACCATCCCCTCCCCTTTTGGGGGCCATTTTTTTTATGGGATTAGGAATTTTGGGAGTTTAGGAAAGTCAAACTTCATGAGGAATTTTTAGTAAGGAAAACTTTGGGTGTTTTCAAGGACTTCCCCACTTTTGGTAAAATGATAAATCTCTCCTGACGTAAACAAACTTTCTTGAGGAAAAACTTTTTTGTTTTTAATAGAGAAAAATTCTGTAAAAGGCTACTTTTGGGGTATTTGGTAGAAGCAGTTGGTCACAGGCCAACTACTTAATTTTCTTGCTCCTCTCTGCCTTCTCCCAATACCCCAATAACCTCAAGGTTATTGTGACCATATGGGATCACCTTTAAATATTTCATCTATAAAAGGTAACTTGTTTAATTCCATGCATCAAATTATATGAAGAAATTAATTATGTGCATCAAATTATATGAACAAATTGTGCTACCCTATCTAAGTAAATGTAGAAAAAGCTGTGGAAAAAGAAATCAACATTTGTTTAGGTCAAGCATTGTGCTAGGCCTTTTTCATACATCAACTTTTTATTTTTTTTTTTTGAGACAGGGTGTCACACTGTTGTCCAGGCTAGAGTGCAGTGGCATTATCACTGCTTATGGCAGCCTCGACCTCCCTGGCTCAAGCAATCTTCCCCACCTCAGCCATCTGGATAGCTGGGACTACCGATGCATGCTACCATGCCAGGCTAATTTTTTATATTTTTAGTAGAGATGGGGTCTTGCCATGTTGCCCAGGCCGGTCTTGAACTCCTGGGCTCTAGTGATTCTCCTGCCTCAGCCTCCCAAAGTGCTGGGATTACAGGCATGAGCCACTGTGCTCGGCCTTAATACAACCCATTATACAGACAAAGAAATTCAAATTTGGAGAAATTGTATAAGCTTCCCAAGATCTTACATCTAGAAAATTAGAATACTGGGACTCAGAGATTTGTTGGTTTTTCAGACTTGTGTTTAAGAAGCTACTTAATTTGCTATAAACTCTGAAATGATTTTTAGGTAGTTTTCAGAAAGCATTATGGGTGTATCCTAAATTTTCAGAAAGTATTGTTGGTGTATCCTAAATTTTTAAACTTTCTTACATAGCCGTGTGAGATAATGATGATTATTTATTGCACTGGGTCCTTTTCTAATCTTTTACAGGCATTAGCTCTAATTTTTACAATAACCCCAAAACAGTGGTGTTATCATCATTGCTATTTTACAGAGAAGAAAACTGAGGCTTATGGAAGTTAAGTAATTTTCCTTATGTTAAAGATGCTGATACCTGGGCTTCTACCTAAGATGATACATCAGATTTTTACATCTTTTACCCCCTCACCTTATTCAGACATCTATTCAAATATCATCATATCAGAAGGGCCCTCTCTAACCAAGCTGTCTAGATAGTTCTGCCTCTAGTGGGTGTCCTCTTAGTCTGCTTAAGTTTTCTTTAAAACCCATTACCACCTAGACATTATATATTTATTTATTTGTTGTGTGCCTTTCCCAGCTAAAACATAAGCTATGTGAGAGTAGAAATGTTGTCTATTTTTATTCTCTGCTGTATCTGCAATGCTAGGATACACAATAGTAGACACACAATAAATACCTGTCAAATGAATGTGAACAAGCGTGGCACTGAAAATGTAGGTGGTAAAATCAGATTAATGTTGGTGAGTTGAAAACAGGAGATAAAGGATTCTTTGAACAAAAGAGAGTACAATAGAGAGGACTAGAACAGAATAGAACAGTCAGATAAGAAAGATTGAAGAAATGTTAGAATTTAGGTCCACTTGAAGACAAACCTTGTGAACATTGAAAGGAAAGTCATCCTTTTACATAAGGCAATAGAATTTCTAGAAGAAAGTAATGTATATTTTTGCATCGTAGAAGAGTAATAAAACTCTCAGTATCTGTTGTTTAGAAAAGTCAGATTTCAAAGTAAAGGAGTATTCAGAGCCTGGACTGATACTTTGACTGGGGAATAAAGAAAAAAACAGACTATTTTGGGGGCTACTTACAGGAAGAAGTTTTGGTTGTAGAGTTAATCTGAAGATGTAAGCTACTGAAGAGTTGATGATATTTCTAATATTTTATACTTAAAGAAAATGGGACATTTTACTTAGTTTTTAGGCAGTTGCAGAAAATGAATATTTCTTGAAAAATAAGTTAGGAGGTTTGCCATTGACATATTGTTTTGAGAATTTTAGTGAACTACTTTGTTCATAAGTTTTCCTTGTACCTGTGGGGTGGGGGATAGATTTGAATTAAACACAACATGATAGCACAAAGCAGCCTTTGACTGTCAAAAGCTGGTGCCATGTTTTTTCACTCTCCCCATTCTGGGCTTTTCTATGTTCTTTTCTTTATCTTGTTTTTCCTTTTTGTTCCATCTTCAATGCAATAATAATAAAAAATAATTATTATAATAAAAATGATAATAACTGTTAACATTTGAGTACTTTGTGCCAGGCACTATTCAAAGCACTTCACATTACTCAATGAATTTAATTATCTCGTTAGCTCTAAGAGGTAGGCACAATTATCACACTCATTTTACAGAGGAAATTATGACACAGAGACAGCAAGTCACTTGCTAAAGGTCACACAGCTAGTGAGTGACCCAGCCAGAATGACGAACCCCGGAAGATGGTTGCCAGGGTCCATACTCTTAACCACTAAGCTACCTGTTTTTTTCCTGATGACATTATATTTACATTGAGCTTTTAACCTTTGTGAAATGCTGTTACATACACCAATTTTCTATTTTCTTCCCCTGCCATGGCTTGCCACTGACATTACTCAGCTCCTGCACAGCAACTAGATGACACTTGGCATGAAGGAGCTTCCCTGCCTTGGCTCTCTAGGCACAAGTCATCAAGAAGTCTTTGAATGATTAAGTGATCATTATTACTTGATCATTTAGCAGAGAAAAATCAATCAGAGCCCTTGGCAGAGGCAGCTTTTAGGAGAGATGTTTAATTTTGTTGATAGGACTTAAGCAGATAGAAAGATGTATGCATGAATGGAAAGTATTAAAACCCAAGTCTTTAATGGTAGGGAGAGGTGCAACAGGGGCTCCATGTGCCCTTTTTTAGGAGCTGAGAAATCCTGAATGTACTGGATTGTGGAAGAGTGGAAGAAATGTAGCATTTGAAAATTAATAAAAGAGAAGAAAATAAAGTTCTTAAAAAATGTCAGGGAATATATTTCAGATAATAGTGGAAAGTTTGGTAATTTAAATGAATAAATATTAAGAGGCAAATATATAATTAATCACAGCTAATCATCCATCCATCCATCCATCCATCCATCCATCCATCCATCCATCCATCTACGAAGTCACATTCTATACACTTGGCAACTGGAGATAAAAAGGAAAACAATGAATTGATCAGGAATGGCATTGCAGGCATCCTATGAATCATTTACTTTAACAGAATTAAAAAGACATTTCTTTTATTGGAAATAAAATTTTCAATATTGTTACAATTTAATATACATGGACACTATCCCACATACGTTATCATTGTCCAGTTTTCTTGTCTAATTTCAAACATGGGGCTCTTTCTATTCCTCATGTTCAATATTAAGAGCATGCACTGGCTGTGAGAACTGACATGCACAAATTTGGGTCATGTTTGAGGGGGAGAATGATGACCCAACCTTTATAGGTACATACTTATGACTGATGATAATATAATCTCTGCTCCCTGGAAGTCGTATATACGGTTTGGTCTATATTGGGAACTTGTCCATAGACAGGTAGATTTCTTTTCTCATAAGCCCTCCATAGTTGTGGAGAACCATTTAGGAACATGTAAAGACAACTGTGAAATTAACACATTGTGAAAGGCACTTGATAATAGTGAAACTAAAATCAAAGTTACCTCTGCCTGGTGCCAAGAGAAACTTATCCACAGAACTTTGTATGTCTTATGGATCCAGCATGTGGTATTAAGTGAATATTTGTTGAAAGTTTGGCTATAAAAATGAAGAGATCTTTTCCTGTGCAAGAAGAAGCATTCATGCATTCTGTGTCTTTTAGACTGGAAGCATGCATTTTGCTATTCTCAGCTTTACCTCTCTTCCTTTGTCATAGCATTTTCTTTTGCACATGTACACCATTCTTTGCCTGCTACATAACAGATGTGTTTCTCAGCTCGTTCTTCGTAGAGCTAGGCCATATTTCTGAAATTGAGCTTGAGTTTATCTTTACAGAGTTGTTTCTTCTCGTCTTGACTATAGTTTTTTTCCAGGACAGCATGACTTGGCAGGTATTTGGGAGTGTCCACGAGGTCTGTAGCTTTCTGTATTGTAACAAGCCTACATTGTGTATGAAGGGGCACACTTAATAGCCCAAGGCTTCTGTGTTGTTGATCTGCATTTCATTTGCATTAATTTTTAGTGAGGGGGGAGTATTTTTATTTATTATTTTTTTGCCCTCATATGCCTAGGACTATAGACTTTTCGTTTTCTAGGCATTACACAACAATAATAGAGGCATGCTATATGTGATACCATGACAGCATGACTTCAAAATGACAGGTTTTTTTCTTCCATTTAGGAAAAAAGTCAACTCCTTTTTGTTGCTCTTCTTCTGAATCCCATTGTATGAAAGAATAGTGACTAATATATAAGGCCGATAAGGGATAAAGAAAAGCTCCTGAAGTAGACTGTCTTATCTAATATGATATAACACTGAGATTTAGGTGGGAGAAGAAAACAGATGTAAAATGGTACCTAGAATAACATGGAGCAGGAGGGAGGAAACTGTTCCCAACAGGAGGCAATTAAGTGTTTGCTGTATACTATGGGTCCAACTGAACCTTTGACACTTTTCCAAAGGGGAAGGCAGAAGGGAGAATATAAATGGCTACCAAAGCTAGTGGCTGGCTTTGGAATGGGCATCTCATATGGTCTCCATTTAGCAATGCTGTAATAAACCAATGAATTGCTATGACATTTTGGAGGGTTGGAGAAGTGCAACATAGAAATACAGAACACTTTGGAAGCAAAATCACCATTCATCCCAGACATGAAGAGGTGCTAGTCTGACAGAGCCTGTATCTTCCAGTGATATCCAGACTGTGGGCTGAGGATGGGTTTGCCATGGTTAAAATCAGTACTCCAAGACTTGTGTGTTTAAAATGGAAAAAAGACTGGTGGTTGGAAACCTCATTTCTCTTTGTTACTGTTTTTGAAACATCAGGACATCAGCTTGTCTCTTGGGACTGTGCCCAGGAGGTCTAATTTTGCTGAAGGATCCAGTCAAGTCTTTGGAGTTAGTTTAGTATTCTAAATTAGTTATATTTTGATTTTACTTGGATTTGTGGAAAAACTAAAAAAGTCAACATCTAAGAGAGGCAATTCCAGGTTCTTCCTACCTCCCCTGAAATTGTATTTTGGTTGTTATGTTGAACACACAAAAGTAAAAAATATCTCTCTGAAAATGTTCATGCAGCACAAGCAGTTCCTGTTTGAGAACTAACTCATATTCCCTTGGGCTGAATGGCATAATTTCATTCCTAGAAGTATAATAGGAATTTCCTTCTCCTGTTCAGTGATTAGAATGTTGAGATAAATCCTTTCCTGATTGTCTCCATGGAGTGTAGGTACCTGGAATACTATACAGATTTTTTTTTTTGAATCACCAGTAGAATCAAAGAAAATGGGGAATGGAGGAAAGGAAACAGAATTAGAGATTCAAGTTACAACCACAATCAGTGAAGACTGAAACTAGTGAATCAGAGAAAGTCAAGAGATGGTCTGGATCCAGGAAATAGTCAGAAACTGGAAGTCAAAGTAGAGAAGTGAGTCAGAATCAAAATGGCAATGAACATAAACTAGAAATTGAGATGAATGAAGGTTTATAAAAGTGAGTGAACAGAAATAGATATGCTTTACTAGGTATATGTACATATGACTTTGACTTACCTTGTCATCTTTCTGACAGAAAAGGGACCAATGACTTCTGGCTGTGGTGTCACAAGACTGAGGGCTCAAAGACCATGCAGCCTGCAGCTGTACACTGTTACCCCAGAGGCGGGGGTTCTAGAATGCTCCAGAGGTTTGATTTTGGAAAGGATGACTATGCTGTGAATCCTTATACTTTCTGTAAATTACATCACCATTCCTTGCTCCATGCCATTCGGAAATATGTATTGCAAATTTAATTTTGTTAATTCGCAAGTCTATTTTTTACCTGTTCAATTTAATACCGTTCAGTTTTGCCAACAAGTGATATGCCAGTTTCCTGCCAGACTACTCAAGGCGAAATGTGAATCATCAGTGGCTAAATGGCTTTTCTTGACATTGAATAAACTTCCAATTTCCTATTTAGCAATGATGCATGTATATAACTGAACTTAATAAGAAAATAAGGTCTTTCTACACTTTATCTAGCTCAGGTCTTCACGTAAGTTTGGTCCATTGTGGACATTTGTGTGTGTCAGTATTGCTTGCTTTATATGGATGTGCATATGCCTACTGTGATATGAACACATGTAGATTTACATATAAAATACCTACAAATATGTAGAATAAAAATGACAAAACTTTTAGCTTGCTGTTTTGTTTAATATTAATTTATGTGTCCAAGGTATAAGCAGTTTTTGAGCAGATTTTGCTTGTTCATTTTAACAGCTCTTTTAAGTGGGTAATAGTATTCTCATTTTCCAGTAGAAGAAACAGATTTTGAGAGATTAAGTAACTTTTTGTAAAACTCTGATTCAAACTAAGTCTGGTCATGCCAAAGCCCATGCTCACTTCCACTGTCTCACACTGTTGCCTTCTTCTTTTTTTTTTTTTGAGATAGTCTCGTTCTGTCCCCCAGGCTGGAGTGCAATGGTGCGACCTTGGCTTGCTGCAACCTCCACCTCCTGGGTTCAAGCGATTCTCCTACCTCAGCCTCCCATGTAGCTGGGATTACAGGTGCCCGCCATCATGCCTGGCTATTTTTTTTTTTTTTTGTATTTTTAGTGGAGACGGGGTTTCACCATGTTGGCCAGGCTGGTTTTGAACTCTTGACCTCAAGTGATCCGCCTGCCTCCGCCTCCCAAAGTGCTAGAATTACAGGCATGAGCCACCGTGCTTGGCCTCATTTTGTACTCTTGTTGAAAACATGGATTACTTTCTTCACTATTGTAACCTATAGACCCTGAATCTAATTATTAAATTTATTTCCATAATACATTCATTATAACTGCTGCCTTCCATTTTTGATACCTGGGACTGAAAGAGTGGAGGAAATTTTGAAGGAAAATTTTACATGCCGGGTTTATCTCCCAAAATAATTTTCAAAGTATATGGATAGTGCATATTAGAAATATATGCCTATGGATACTAAAACTGCTGAATTTTTTTCTTGATAACCACATCAAATGTAATTCTTGAGGTTTAGAAAGACAAAAATATTCCTTGGAAAAACAAAAGAAAATTAGCAAAAATTAGTACAAACACAAACACCACAAGAAAAACTTTATAACTATATGCCCTTAAGTATATGTTAATAAATTTAGCAACAAAAATATACAGTGCTTCATGATGTGACTCATTAAAAATGAATTTAACTAGATGGTGGTAGAATACGAATGCATGCACAATGGTTACAGTAAATGTGCGAGTGTAGGCTTTCTTTTAGACCAAGTATTAGGGAAGAAAATTGCATACTTGATGTCTGGTGGTTTCTGGAATGCTGTTTTTGTTTACGGCTTGGGCAAATGCCAGTGGTTTCAACAAAATAAGAATAGAAATCATACATTATTGTGGAGTTATTTTAAAACAACAGATGCAAGGGAGGTCATAGAATGTTTTTGTGACTGTTGGACATGAAAATGGAACGAGACTTTATGAAATTTTTGAAGGGCTTAATTTTTATGAGAATATCCCCAGAATTAATAATATAAATACTTCCCCTGATGCATATATTATGGAGAAATATCAGATTATTGGAATATTTTATCCGAAGGTTAATTGAAAACTGAATAGATTTTTTTCCCCTAGATGTAAAACCTAGGAGATTGCTTATTTCAATGAAGCTAGCATAATGTTAAAATCTGTACATCTTTTTTTACTTTTTTGAACTTTTTTTCCCCTTAGTGCTAATCTCACTAAATTTGTAGATGACATTTTAACTTCATAGAAGCAGCTCCTTAACTCATTTTAACTATGACTGGGTGAGACCTTCTGAGTATTTGGTGATATGTGCACATTTCATCATCACAAGCACTGAGATAAAGTAGTTGTACCCTGTGAAAAAGGATTAGTCACAAAACTTATTTCCAAAAGCAAATTCTTTTGGTTTCCAGCCCATGGTATACATTGAAAAGGACTACTTTATGGGAAAAATTTATGAAACTTAAGTGGATAAGAGCTGTTTATAAACCGATGACTGGCCACTAGCAGGTCTCTCATGGAATGGTGGGATACCTTGTATGTATCTTATGGTCCAAACAATGGGTTACTGACCTGGTTGTGTCTTGAGAAGCCATTTGCCAAGTTTTTAATTCATTTCTCAATTAATCTACTTCCTGTAATGGTTGCCTTTCAGTGAAGATAAAGGTTAAAAATATAACATGTAATTTTTATCTTTTGGAAGGATTTCCAAATGTATGTGGTTATTGCAATTTCTTTCTCTCTCATTTGTAACACCATTTCTGAACTATTATGTTGTCTTCTTCAAGTCCTCTCACAAATACAACATTTAAAATTTGATTTGTCATAGTTTGATTGTTTAATATGACCCCTAACTGTTTCATGTATTTCCTGGTTGGGTCATTCCTGGTGAACAGGATGATTTTCCCTCCTCTGAAATCTGCTGTGTCTTCTTGACTTGTCTGTGGATAAGGCAGCAAATGGCAGTGCTGTCCTACCTAACTGGTTCAGGCCAAGCCAGGATGTTCATGCCTTAATTCATTCCAGCCCATTCCCCCAAACTACCAGAGTGATTGTCCTAAAACAGAAATGTGATTAAACCACTGATCTCAATAAAAGTCTTCAACAGGCCTTAGGATAAATTCCTTCCCATAGGGTGTAAAAACTTCATCACCTGGCTTATAACTCTGGAATCATCTCTAGTGGTCTGAAGAACTGGCTTTGACTGCTCTGAGTTACCATAACATCAAAGCTATCCTTTTTGTGCCACAGGGACCTGCGTTAGTGCCGCTGCTTAGCAGTCTCCACCATCATGAGCACAGAACTCTTCTCTGTCTGGGGTTACTCTCAGTGAGAGGTATCTGCAGGAGGTTTGCTTGGGCTCTGGCATGCTATAGAGCTTATGAAGTTCCTTCGTTTGATCACAGAATTCTCCCTTTCCCTTGTGCACACATGCCACCACATTTGCTGAGTCTGGATGGGCTCAAGTACTCACCATGATGCCTTACCTGCAGGCTTTCCTTTCCTCTGACATGCACCTTCACTAGTAGACATACACTCTTCCAGAGTCTTGTCCATATGATACATTCTCTCAGGGATATTATAATCCTGGCTCTGGATTTTGACTTCCCCCTAGGCAGGCAGATAAATCTAAACACCAATTAAGAGACAGTACAAGTTGCTTTACCTACTTTGAAGCTCCTCAGCTACCGTGTGAATCAGTGGATACAGAAGAGGATATTTGGAGAAAGGAGTGAAGCTACCACCACATGCTGCTGCATAATTCCCTTACATTATACAACACATTGCTTTAAACTTGTCTACTCTCTTTCTCCCCCAGCAAGCTGTAAACTCTTTGAGGACAGGAGAATTGTATCAGATTCATTTTTATATTTCTGAGCATGATAATAATTGTACTTGGAGGTAATGAACATTGACAGAAATACTGAACTGCCTCAATATGTTAAAGACCAGAGCAGAGTGGATTACAGGGGTGGATTTGAGGTAGAGGGAGAGTACTCTACCTCTGGGAATGAGTCTTCGAGGCATTTGCTAGTTCTTTTTTTTTTCTTTTGCAGAACAAAGTGAAAAAATAATTTTTGTGGTACAGATCCATTCTCAGTAGTCAGTGTGCACAAAAGTTTATTATATTTGTTCCCATTCTATATAGGACCTGCTCAGTGGCAATAAACATTGGCATTCTTGGAAACAGTGTTTGCCTAAGAATCTTCTGTCTGCCTTTGTTGCTTTGGCCATATTATGATAAGGGCATGACTGGATTTACCAAAATGGGCATGATTGGATCTACTTATTCTCTTATCAGGTAAGAAATGTATATTTGGTGTACATTTGATCATGAAAGATTAATAATGTGTTATGGCAGCAAATGTAGACTAATGATACTTTTAAAAAAGATTAGTTATGTTAATGTCAGAGATGAGCACATGTATATACACACACACATATATATGTATATATATATATTCTGTGCCTTTTGTAGTCATGTAAGAATGGGTTTGTCAATAATCTTATCAAAAATAAAAGTGCAGTACACCAAAAATCAGTTGACAGGAACATGAATAATGGCATAACTTAAAATAAACGCTAAAATAAGTTTATATTTTTAAAACATATAGGTCAGATTACGTACAGAAAAACGTGAACAAATAGGCATCATTAATTCATTGGCTATAATTATTTCCAGCCAATTAGCTTACAAATTCCAGATTATCTTTTGTTTCACTGCATAATATGATGTGAATAAATACCTGCTTTTCAGAAGGCAAACAATGCACTGTGGATATTGGCCTGAAGATGTAAGTATCTCTCTATAATTTGTGTGCTGTGTTTTTCTAGCCATATAATTTCACTTTGATAAATAACACATGATACAGTTGGCCTTACTGGCTGACCACCCCAAAGAAGATGTCTAAAAGACTCCATAATATTTGCAAAGGAGTTGGGTCAGTAACCACAAAACAATGACTATTTCAAAGCAAATAAACAAGCAGAAGGCCAGTGGTGGTTACGGTCTGTGAAGAATAGTCAAGTCAATCTACAGATGATAGAAAGTAGAGGACAATGAGTAGGGAGGCCCATTCAGAAGGGAGGGAGTTCTCCATCTACTGGGAGTTCTCCATCTACTGCGCCTGACTTCTTTCCTAAGAGAAACCTTTCTTTCATTTAAGATTTAAATGAAAGGTTGAAGCAGGCGGATCTCTTGAGGCCAGGAGTTTAAGAGCAGCCTGGGCAACATAGCAAGACCCCCATATCTATGAAAGAAAAAAAAATAGCCGGTCATCGTGGTACAAGCCTTTAGTCCCAGCTACTACTTGGGAGGCTGAGGCAGAAAGATCAATTGAGCTCAGGAGTAAGGCTGCAGTGAGCTATGATCATGCCACTGCATTCCAGCATAGGTGACAGAGAGAGCCCCTGTCTGAAAAAAAAAAAAAAAAGATTTAAAGATAGATTTAAAGTCATAATGTAAAAAAGAACAAGAAGTTAGCTAGCTCTCCACTCAAATCCTTGTTTTCCCAGTTTCTAGCTCTTTGCCCTTGGGTCTGTTCTCTTTATGCCTCAATTTGCTTATCTGCAAAAATGAGATGATACCTAAATTTTGGAGTTGAAGGATAAAATCAAATAACATAGGTGAAAGTACCTAGCACAGTACCTTTCATGTAGTAGGTAGTCTACCAGTGTTAGTTTTCTTGCCTCCCCCCATTCACCCACGCATCTTTCCATCCAATGCATTTTTATTGAGTGATAACTTGGCCAGGCCCTTGGAAACTATGGGAATATAGTTTCCAACCAGATCTTCTAGTTCTTATTATTGTAAATACCAAGCTTCTAAGAGACACTTTATATTTTTCAGCCAAACAAATGTGTGCAGCATTCCAAACAGGAGCACAAACTCTTACAACCTAAAGCTTTGCATATGGCAACTGCTTCATTTTCATGGTCCTCCTCACTCTTCCCTTTGACTTCTCCTAACTTTTTATTGAGAATTCTTTCCTAAGCTCACATCTTCTGTTGGTCTTTTTAGACTAATTTCACTTAAATCAGTGAGTGCTGTCATTTTGACAACTCCCTGGAATGTTGCATATGCTTGTGTACAACTTTAATTAGCAATACATATTTCAATACATTTTTGGCCATTTGAAATACTTTAATTTTACATTGTATGCAGTGATGTAGAATATATTTCCTCTGCACTCCCAAACCATAATAGCTTATCTTAAAGCAATGGGTTTTTGCAAATGATGACTGGTCATCAGATTGATTTTCCTCTACTCCTGATCTTTATCGTCATCATAATAAGAATGGGATGTTCTTACTACTCTTAAAGTTGGAGTAGTTTCTGTGCTTTCACCTTATTACAGAGCCTCCTCCTTTGTTTATCAACACACTTTGCCTCAATGCTATCCACAGTCTTTAGCTGGCTTGAAATTAGCTTCCAGCAGAGTCCTCGGCAGCCCCTGAGTCAGGTTGATGGCTATTATACAATAAATGGCCTGATATCAGTGGTTATTTTTTTTCCATTTGAAATATTTAGTCATAAATTTTAATTAGAAATGATGGCAGAGAATGATTTATTTATAAAGAAAATGGCATCACATGCCAGATGTATATATCATGAGATATACCTTGTGGTTGCTAACCAAAGCATTTGGAATGAAAGTCATAATTTAAGAAAATACAAACTCTGCATTGTTACATTCTAGGATTTATTACTTAAAAATAGCAAACATGCCTTTCCATTATCCATGTTAAAGTACATGGTCAGGATAGTTTATTTCATAAGGAGCAATGGCCCACACTAGTGTTCATTAACCTTCTAGAGAACCTACTTAGAAGTCATCACTTCCTATATGATCTCCAAAGGAATTCAAGGAGGATTTAACAATCAAACATGAATACTTAAGGTTTGCTCTGTTTCAAACGTGGTGATCTGATGGAAACTACTGAAAATTTAATGGGCTTCAACAGAAGAAATGTGGGTTTTCTAACACTTAAAAAGTCATAAAAAGGAGATGAGGTAGGAAAATAAGAGGCGCTTATGTAAATCCATGGAGTTGGTCAATAGAAGCACAGCCTGAGTAGCAACGAAAACAGTGATGAGACATACAGACACAAGGCCAGTTCTGTCCTTGGAAATACATGCGTAGCCATCAAAGGGCAGAATTTGCCTAATAAGCAAATGTGACAACAGGCAAAACAACCAAGAAACTGACAGTTGATTAAGGAACCTATTGGATAAAGCTTTTTGAAATATTCAGAAAACTGAATTATTCTCTAAGCAAACCTATGAGAGATTTAGAGACAAAAATTAGGAGGTAGGAGTGAAGGAAAAGGAAAGTCAACATATTTTTAGCAATAAAGGAGTAGTTAAAATGTTTTCTAAATTTCTGCTATTTATATTTACATTACACATATTTCTAGGTGACTAATGAGAAGCAGGTTTAAACTAATATTATACCGATTGAACATTATATTATCTGGTAGCATCAATTTAAAAGCATATATAGTGAATTACATTAGATTACATGCAGTATTATATGAAACTTAGTTCTATAAAATCAATTTGATTTTCTCATACTGGTGAGAATATGTAGCGACAGCAATGTGTTTCGGAAGGCTGAGGTAGGATTATCATTCTTAGATTGAATTTTTTTTTTTTGATGACATCTTGCTTTATTGCCCAGCGTGGAGTGCAGTGGTGCATTCTCAGCTTACTGCAAACTTTGACTCCTGGGTTGAAGCAATTCTCCTGTCTCAGCCTCCTAAATAGCTGGGATTACAGGCATGCACCACCACACCCAACTAATTTTTTTATTTTACTTTTTTTTTTTTTTTTTCAGGGATGGGGTTTTGCCATGTTGGCCAGGCTGGTCTTGAACTCCTGGGCTCAAGGGATCCACCTGCCTCGGCCTCCCAAAGTGCTGGGATTACAGGGGTGAGCCACTGCACCTGGCCTGGATTGGATTTTTAATATAGCAGGCCTCACATTTGCTTGGCTTTGAAAGTATGTATAAGAGAGATACATAGCAGCCAGGGCCTCATTTATTCCCTTAAGTTTCCTTATGCCTTGGAAGTTGTTGGTTGATTTAAGACCTGAAGTTGGTCCATGAGAGCCAATTCTGGCATGTTAATAGCTGGGACATGATTTACCTTCTGACCCTTTGTCTTCCCTAGAGCCCAACATGTCTTCGTTTCTTAGACTTCTTGTGATTCAAACCAGACAACATTTGACTCAGAAAATTGCTTAATTAACACAGAAATACTGGTCAAATTGACCAATGCTGCTTTTCTGAGTGTTTTCCACATATTGAATTCATCTTTTATGTGTTTGTTGCAGTTTGAGCTTGTGGCAAACACAGTTCTCTATTATTCACTTCCATATTCTTGCTTAGGTAAAAACCCTTTGGCGTCATCTGTCATTTCTTTTTCTGAAGGAAGGTTGAGGTCATGTGTGGTCTCTGGTTAGAGCTACTTACGTGACCCTAACTTTTCTTTCTTTTTTTTTTTTTTAAGAGACAAAGTCTTTGTTGCCCAGGCTGCAGTGCAGTGGCCCAATCATAGCTCACTGAAGCCTCAAACTACTAGTCTAAATACTAGGCTCAAGCAATCCTTCTGCCTCAGTCTCTCTAGTAGCTGGGATTACAGGTGCACAGCATCACACCCAGATAATTTTTCTTATTTTTGTGGAGATGGGTGTCTCACTATGTTTCCCAGGCTGTTCTCAAACTCAAACTCCTGGCCTCAATCAATCCTCCTGCCTCGGTCTCCCAAAGTGTTGGGATTACAGGCATGAGCCACTGTGCCCAGCCAGCCCTAATGTTTATACTCTCCCCCTGGATACTGTCTTGTTGCTAAGGGCAGAATGTTATCTACATAGCCTTTCTATTACTTCTTCCCTATTTCTAATTTCTTGTTCTATGACTTCATTATCTCTCTTTCTCGCTTGTGGTTGCTGCTCTACCAGCAAGTTCACTCCTTTAATTTCATGTCTCTGTTACACAAGTCTACCCTATTAGTTAAGATTACTTGGTACAATGGTAAACAAGACATACCTGTTGCTCTCAAGGAATTTACAATCTAATAAGGGAGAATGAAATGTAGGTAGAGCATTATATATGTGATAAGGTGCCACGACTATTGTAAACACAGGGTTGGAACACATATGCAAGGGTGCAAAGAATAAGCACAAACTGATGCCATTACTAGCTGTGAGAAGATGAACTGAGCCAAACAGATTCTTTCCCTCCAGGAATTTAACCAGGAATACTAAATTAGCCAATTAGCAGCAGGCATTTAATCAGAAAGGTGATGAAAAAAGATAAGCATTTAGGATCGTTATGAGCAAGCAGATAATATATGAAAACAAAGGATACCAGTCAATATATGGAGACATATAGAATGAGGAGAATCAGAAGCACCACGAGGGACCACTGCAGCTCCTCCTAAAAGAAGGACTGGAAGGGCTATTGGGATGGAGGGCACATGGGGAAGGAAGAGTCTCACTAAGGATTTCTAATTCATGCATCTTGGAGACTTATATTTTTCAAGATATGTTTGTCCATTGAAAAATCAGCTGGATATAACGGTGTGCACCTGTAATCCCAGCTACTAGAGAGACTGAGGTGGAAGGATTGCTTGACCCTAGTAGTTTGAGGCTACTGTGAGCTATGATTGGATGAGAGGATGAGATAGGAGGTAATAGGATGTAGCAATTATCATCAACTATTGTGTCTAGAATGATATGGCTATGTTGTGTCACCTTTGGCAAACTAACTGACCATTCTCATTTTCAAGTTCTCTTCTCTACATTCTATAGGAAATAATAATTGTACTCAACTTTTAGGGTTATTTTAAGGATTAGATGAGATAATCCACGTAAAGTGCTTAGCATAGTTCCTTGTGCATACATTCTGAAAAATGGCAGCTATTATTGTTTTATTTTGCTTTAGTATACTAAAAGGCACAGTAAATTGGTGTTTGTTTCAAATTGCAGGAAGTAATCATGAGTATGTAATATTATAAATTTAGGGAAGAATAACCAACAATCTAAGAAAAGATATAGAATAGAGTATATAAGAAACACTTTCTATAGTAAAGGAATGATTTGCAAAAACCTTTTTTCAGGCGCACGTGTCCATGTGTTTATATATCACCAAGCACATAATAATTTGAAGACCACTGTATTATATGAATGCCAGATGGATAATAGATTGGATCATGATATATACAATTAGTTGGTTTTCCAATTCTAGCTCTGAGAGGTGGACATTAATCTATCCATTAGTGAGACCTAGGCCATGAGCAGGGTTGCTGCAGACTTTCATGTTTACATGTGTGTATGTGAATGCAGTTATCTATAACTCTGTGCCTCTTGCTGTAAGGTTTCTGGGATCCTAATGATTGCACTTTCTTCTGCTTGAAGAATTGTGATGTTTCTTTGGGATTCCTCCTGAGCCAACTCTCTATGATATCTTTTCAATAAAGAAATAATGGTAGATATATTGAAGAGTGTCTATTTCTCTTCCTTTTACAATATGTGCATACAACAATATGATGGACATCAATAGTGAAACCCTAAAATCCCAAACCAAGCACAACATCATTGTTTTATCAGAGCAAAATACAGACAGGTGCAGATGTAAGTAATTTAGATAAAAGATTAACCAAGTACCTGTAGTCAAACAACATATGTGTTGATAAAAACAGACCCTGAGATAAGGTAAGGTGAAGATAAGAGGAAATGTGTAATTTTTTTTTCTTTTTGAGACTAGGTCTCACTCTGTCACCCAGGTTGGAGTGCAGTGGTGCAATCTTGGCTCACTGCAACTTCTGCTTCCCAGGCTCAAGCGATCCTCTCACCTGAGCCTCCCAAATGGCTGGGACCAGAGGTGCAAGTCACTGCGCCTGGCTAATTTTTGTATTTTTTGGGTAGAGATGGGGTTTTGCCATGTTGATCAAGCGGTCTCAAACCTCAGAGCTCAGGTGGTCCACCAGCCTTGGCCTCTCAAAGTGCTGAGATTACAGGAGTGAGCTACTATGCCTTGCAGAAATGTGTAAATTGTACAGAACATATACTTTAATTTAAAGAGTGCCTGAGAATGTATACCATAAAGGGTAACTAAAATTTCTTAAAATAAAAGTAATAATACTTCAAGAAGAGTTTAATGATAGTTTGGAATCATTGGCAACAAACAACTTGAGCAAAATTTAGGAATGAAGGAGTTTGGAGTGTGGGATAAGAAAAAGCATTGTAGAAGTTTCATTAGATTGCGTTGGAGTTGTGAGAAAGCATCTTGATTGTTGGAAGAGAAACCCCTTTGCTGGAGATATGCAGTCGGATGTCATTAGCATGTAAGAATAATTGAGCCAAGAGGAGTGGCTGCACTCTCCCAGATAGAACACACCTACTTTTCTATTTTTTCTTCTACCATACAAACAGTTCTTTGGATATTTTCTGTTTTCTAACTAGATTTACTGCCTACTCAATTTCACCTAATCTCATCACATTGAAAAACATTTTACATTGAAAACTTCCAAAATTTTATGTATTCAGCTCTGACCACAGCCCTCAATTCCAGATTCTCAGCACCCCCCACATCTGTCGCACTCAAAGCGTTCTGTAATGCGATTACTGGTAAATCTATTATTCTGCTTGCTTAGGTCAAACATCTTAGAGTCTTTCTGGACTTTCTTCTATTCCAGCCCACCTTCGATCTAACAGTAAACTTTGTTGATCTATCTTCAAAATATGTACAAAATCCAACCACTTATCACACATTTACATACTCTTATCTGGGTTACCATCGCCTCCTAAGTGGTCTCCCATTTTTTCTTTTCTTTTCTTTTCTTTTTTTTTTTTTTTGAGACGGAGTCTCACTCTGTCACTTAGGCTGGAGGGCATCGGTGCTAGCTCGGTTCACTGCAACTTCTGCTTCCTGGGTCCAAGCAGTCTCCTGCCTCAGCCTCCCAAGTAGCTGAGATTCCAGATGGCTGCCACCATGCCCGGCTAATTTTTGTATTTTTAGTAGAGACAAGGCAACGTTTCACCATGTTGGCCAGGATGGTCTCGATCTCTTGACCTTGTGATCCGTCCGCCTCAGCCTCCCAAAGTGCTGAGATTGCAGGAATGAGCCACCGCACCTGGCTCATTTTGTGTCTTTATACTTTCAACAGTCTATCCTCCACAGAACAGTCAGAGCAATCCTTTAAACAATTAGGTCATGTATTTCCACAAAAAACCCTCCAGTGGTAGTCCACATCAACAGAAGTGAAACTCAAACTCCTCACAGTGACTCTATTACCCTACATGCTATGCTCTTTTTAACACACTAAAATGAATCTCCTATTACCCTGTCCTTTGCTCTACAACACTCTCTTCCTGTAGATAGTTTGATGGCTCAAATATTCCCACATCTCTTCAACTTCTTTTAGAAATGCCATCCTCTCAGTAGTGGACTTTGACCACATTACTTAAAATTGTATTTCTGTGTTCCCTGTCCTTTTTTCTTTATGGTTTTCATCAGAGTTATTACCATTTAACATACTGTGCATTTTATTTTATTTTTCCTCTATATTCTTCCACTAGAATATAAGCCCCAGGGATTTTTGCTGGTTTCATTCCTTACTATTTTCCTAGTGCAATGCCTGGTACATAGAAGGAACTCACTAAATAATACTTGAATTAATGTCTGAGTCAGTAGACAAAAGAGCTCTAGGATTGCTCTAGGGAAAAATATATGCAAACAGATCGCAAGTAAAGGATTAATAGCTACACAGAGAAAGAGTTCTTATAAATTCATGAAAAGAAGACAAACAAAAATGAGCAAAAAATGAGACAGAAAAAAATGAGCAAAGAATATTATTCTAATGACCAGTTGTCTATCTAGTGACCATTCTGTCTTTTTCTTTCTCTTACTATTAGAGCACTAATTGCATTTAGGGTGGCATGGATCCAGCTAAGAGACTGTACCTTCCCCTGCTACTGGAGTGTCCTTGTCATGTGGTCTTGGCCAAGGAGGCATGGAGCACTGGTTGCTATGTGGGCTTCTGAAAAGGTGCTTCTTGCCTTTTGCATTTTACTTTATTTCTTCTCTGACTAACTGGAGCTCTGTAGCTACTTTGTGAATGTGGAGAGGGGTTCATGTCCCAAGGAGGGATGAGTGGGAAAGTTCAATGCAGCCCAGGTCCCTGGTGATCTAGGGGAGCCACTGCAGCAGGGCTGGGCTGCTCATCTCTGTTCTTGTTTATGTATGAAAGGAAAATAAGTCCTTGGTACGTCACTCTTATTTGGACTTTCTTTTAAAGGCTCAATTTAATCCCTAACTGATACAAACATGAATCAATACTTTATTAAAGGACATACCTAAATGAGAAATAAATATTTGACAAGATGTTTCACCACTTTAGTATTAAGAAAAAAATGGAATTAAAGGAAGAGAACATATCAATTTATATTTATCACACTGGAAAAAAATTAAAAGAAAATAACACAAAATTAAGAATACCAGCTATGAAACCAGACAGCCTGGGAAAATAAAGGATGCAATATGTAAGAATGCATATACAAGAATAATTAGTTTGTATCAGTATTTGAGGGAGCAAGAAACAAGCCCTTCAAAAACTAGAAATCAAGTGAATGCCTATCACTAGAGAAGTGTTGAATAATTTGTGCTACATTTTCAACATGAGATATTATGCAGCTGTTAAAAAGAATCAATTTGATGTATCTCTGTTAACTTGGAGAAATATCTGCTATCTACTGTTACATGGGGGATAAAAAAGTTTCAGAAAACCCATATAATGTACATATATATCTTTGAAAGCAATTATATTAACAAGAAGACTTTTATAAGTCTTATAAGAAGGATTCAGGCTGGGTGCAGTGGCTCACGCTTGTAATCCCAGCACTTTGGGAGGCTGAGGAAGGTGGATCACCTGAGGTCAGGAGTTTGAGACCAGCCTAGCCAACATGGAGAAACCCCGTCTCTACTAAAAATACAAAAAATTAGCTGGGCGTGGTGGTGGGCGCCTGTAATCTCAGGTACTTGGGAGGCTGAAGCAGGAGAATCGCTTGAACCAGGAGGTGGAGGTTGCAGCGACCCGAGGTTGTGCCATTGCACTCCAGCCTGGGCAACAGGAACGAAACTCCATCAAGAAAGGAAGAAGGATTCAGACCAGGTTAACATTGGCTACAAGTGGGGTATATTGTCATTTTGGAGGGGCAGGAGGGGAAAATAAAACCCTACATTTAAACAAGGTGATAATAATGAAATATGAAAATTATAGATATTCATGGACTCAAGACGTATGAACTGAAACATGAAAAGTTTCCAAAATGTTAATGGCAGTTAAAGAAGTGGGTTTTAGGTTGTCGTTGCCTTTTTGAAAATTACTGTATATTTTATATGTTCCAAATAGTTTTATTGTTGTAAAAAAAGGTAGTTGAGACATCTTAAGTAGTTCTGTTTTTTTTTGAAATGCTTAGCTATAAAGAGAAGCAAAAGTGGTGTGGAAGCCAGAGGTGAATATAGGTGTCAGGGGAAGTTTGGTTGAAATGGTACCCAGATGAGTTTGAATGCTCAGGGATTTTGTAGAATGGGAGAATTTGAAGATTCAGGTGACAGAGGATAACTGAAGACAGGAAATCCTGGAAAAGGTGAGAAGATATGAGAGGATGGGATCCAGAACCAATGTGGAAGGCCTGGGTTTGGCAAGAGGAAAGACACTTCCTCAATTGTAAGGGGGCTGGGAGCACTGGGGAGAAAGAAGGAGGAGGAGGAGATGGCAGGTGGACGAGAGAACAATATGGCGGTTTGGAAAGATGTGGAAGTTCCCAGCTGATGACGTCGATTTTCTGATGAATTTTGAGGAGAAAGGAACAGGGAGGGGTCTGGAAGAAAATGTGACGAGAAACGCAAATAGTCCTGGTGGAGAAAGGGAGAAGGAGCTCACTAGAGCAATGTAGCAAAATTGCTCGGCAGAGAGCCACCCCTGTGTAGCGACTGTATC